>NC_000003.12:161887392-162190422 GCF_000001405.40 Homo sapiens | reverse complement strand
ATAAAACTGAATGCCTTTAACAGCACCCAAGTCATATCTTGAATGCTTTGCTGCTTAGAAATTTCTTCCACCAGATACCCTAAATCATCTCTCTCAAGTTCAAAGTTCCACAAATCTCTAGGGCAGGGGCAAAATGCTTCCAGTCTCTTTGCTAAAACATAGCAAGAGTCACCTTTATTCCAGTATCCAACAAGTTCTTCATCTCCATCTGAGATGAGCAGCATTTGGTCAAAGCTATTTGACAAGTCTCTAGGAAGTTCCAAACTTTCCCACATCTTCCTGTCTTCTTCTGATCCCCGCAAACTGTTCCGACTTCTGCCTGTTACCCAGTTCCAAAATCACTTCCACAACTTTTGGGTATCTTTACAGCAGTACCCTACTCTCTGCTGGCACCAATTTACTGTATTAATTTGTTCTCATGCTGCTACTAAAAACACACCTGAGACTGGGTAATTTATAAAGGAAAGAGGTTTAATGGACTCAGTTCTACATGGCTGGGAGGCCTCAAAATCATGATGAAAGGCAAAAAAGAAGCAAAGGCATGTCTTACATGGTGGCAGGAAAGGCAGCTTGTAAGGCAGGGGAACTCCCATTTATAAAACTATCACATCTCGCCTTTATAAAACTCCCATTTATAAAAGATGTTCTTTGAAACCAACGAGAACAAAGACACAACATACCAGAATCTCTGGGACACATTCAAAGCAGTGTGTAGAGGGAAATTTATAGCACTAAGTGCCCACAAGAGAAAGCAGGAAAGATCTAAAATTGACACCCTAACATCACAATTAAGAGATCTAGAGAAGCAAGAGCAAACACATTCAAAAGCTAGCAGAAGGCAAGAAATAACTAAGATCACAGCAGAACTGAAGGAAATAGAGACACAAAAAACCCTTCAAAAAATCAATGAATCCAGGAGCTGGTTTTTTGGAAAAGATCAACAAAATTGATAGACCATTAGCAAGACTAATAAAGAAGAAAAGAGAGAAGAATCAAATGTACACAATAAAAATGATAAAGGGGATATCACCATCGATCCCACAGAAATACACACTACCATCAGAGAATACTATAAACACCTCTACACAAATAACCTAGAAAATCTAGAAGAAATGGATAAATTCCTCGACACATACACCCTCCCAAGACTAAACCAGGAAGAAGTTGAATCTCTGAATAGACCAATAACAGGCTCTGAAATTGAGGCAATAATTAATAGCTTACCAACCAAAAAAAGTTCAGGACCAGATGGATTCACAGGACCAGGTGAATTCTACCAGAGGTACAAGGAGGAGCTGGTACCATTCCTTCTGAAACTACTCCAACCAATAGAAAAAGAGGGAATCCTCCCTAACTCATTTTATGAGGCCAGCATCATCCTGATACCAAAGCCTGGCAGAGGCACAACCAAAAAAGAGAAGTTTATACCAATATCCTTGATGAACATTGATGCAAAAATCCTCAATAAAATACTGGCAAACTGAATCCAGCAGCACATCAAAAAGCGTATCCACCATGATCAAGTGGGCTTCATCCCTGGGATGCAAGGTTGGTTCAGTGTGCGAAAATCAATAAACGTAATCCAGCATATAAACAGAACCAAAGACAAAAACCACATGATTATCTCAATAGATGCAGAAAAGGCCTTTGATAAAATTCCACAGCCCTTCATGCTAAAAACTCTCAATAAATTAGGTATTGATAGGACGTATCTCAAAATAATAAGAGCTATCTAAGACAAAGCCACAGCCAATATCATACTGAGTGGACAAAAACTGGAAGCATTCTCTTTGAAAACTGGCACAAGACAGGGATGCCCTCTCTCACCACTCCTATTCAACATAGTGTTGGAAGTTCTGGCCAGGGCAATCAGGCAGGATAAGGAAATCAAGGGCATTGAATTAGGAAAAGAGGAAGTCAAATTGTCCCTGTTTGCAGATGACATGATTGTATATCTAGAAAACCCCATCGTCTCAGCCCAAAATCTCCTTAAGCTGATAGGCAACTTCAGCAAAGTCTCAGGATACAAAATCAATGAGCAAAAATCACAAGCATTCTTATACACCAATAACAGACAAACAGAGAGCCAAATCATGAGTGAACTCCCATTCACAATTGCATCAAAGAGAATAAAAATACCTAGGAATCCAACTTGCAAGGGACGTGAAGGACCTCTTCAAGGAGAACTACAAACCACTGCTCAATGAAATAAAAGAGGATACAAACAAATGGAAGAACATTCCATGCTCATGGGTAAGAAGAATCAATATCATGAAAATGGCCATACTGCCCAAGGTAATTTATAGATTCAATGCCATCCCCATCAAGCTACCAATGACTTTCTTCACAGAATTGGAACAAACTACTTTAAAGTTCATATGGAACCAAAAAAGAGCCTGCATCACCAAGTCAATCCTAAACCAAAAGACCAAAGCTGGAGGCATCACGGTACCTGACTTCAAACTATACTACAAGGCTACAGTAACCAAAACAGCATGGTACTGGTACCAAAACAGACATATAGATCAATGGAACAGAACAGAGCCCTCAGAAATAATGCCACATATCTACAACTATTTGATCTTTGACCAACCTGACAAAAACAAGCAATGGGGAAAGGATTCCCTATTTAATAAATGGTGCTGGGAAAACTGGCTAGCCATACGTAGAAAGCTGAAACTGGATCCCTTCCTTACACCTTAATCAAAAATTAATTCAAGATGGATTAAAGACTTACATGTTAGACCTAAAACCATAAAAACCCTAGAGGAAAACCTAGGCAATACCATTCAGGACATAGGCATGGGCAAGGACTTCATGTCTAAAACACCAAAACCAATGGCAACAAAAGCCAAAATTGACAAATGGGATCTAATTAAACTAAAGAGCTTCTGCACAGCAAAAGAAACTACCATCAGAGTGAACAGGCAACCTACAGAGTGGGAGAAAATTTTTGCAATCTACTCATCTGACAAAGGGCTACTATCCAGAATCTACAATGAACTCAAACAAATTTACAAAAACAAACAAACAAACAAACAACCCCATGAAAAAGTGGGCAAAGGATATGAACAGACATTTCTCAAAAGTAGACATTTATGCAGCCAAAAAACACATGAAAAAATGCTCATCATCACTGGCCATCAGAGAAATGCAAATCAAAACCACAGTGAGATACTGTCTCACACCAGTTAGAATGGCCGTCATTAAAAAGTCAGGAAACAACAGGTGCTGGAGAGGATGTGGAGAAATAGGAACACTTTTGCAGTGTTGGTGGGACTGTAAACTAGTTCAACCATTGTGGAAGTCAGTGTGGCAATTCCTCAGGAATCTAGAACTAGAAATACCATTTGACCCAGCCATCCCATTACTGGGTATATACCGAAAGGATTATAAATCATGCTGCTATAAAGACACATGCACACATATGTTTATTGTGGCACTATTCACAATAGCAAAGACTTGGAACCAAGACAAATGTCCAACAGTGATAGACTGGATTAAGAAAATGTGGCACATATACACCATGGAATACTATGCAGCCATAAAAAAGGATGAGTTCATGCCCTTTCTAGGGACATGGATGAAGCTGGAAACCATCATTCTCAGCAAACTGTCGCAAGGACAAAAAACCAAACACCGCATGTTCTTACTCATAGGAAAGAGTTGAACAATGAGAACACATGGACACAGGAAGGGGAACATCACACACTGGGGCCTGTTGTTGGGTGGGGATAGTGGGGAGGGATAGCATTAGGAGATATACCTAATGTTAAATGACGAGTTAATGGGTGCAGCACACCAACATGGCACATGTATACATATGTAACTAACCTGCACATGTACCCTAAAAGTTAAAATATAATAATAAAAAAAGCACATTAACATGGCACATGTATACATATGTATCTAACCTGCACATGTACCCTAAAAGTTAAAGTATAATAATAAAAAAAAGAAAGAAAAGCTTTCATGTAGTTATCATACACAATTTTGGATAAGTTTTAGCTGCAGAAAGTGTAAAGTTATAATTTCTAGTAAAAATCTAAAGAACTTACATTTGTTTGACTAATAATAAAATCAATGAAAAGGAACAAAGCTGTCCTCTTTTATTTTTAATATAAATAAATATCTAATCAAAATAGGAACCTGAGAAAAAGAGGTTCTATGGGCGAGCAAAAATTTCCTCAGAAAATGATTTGGATTTTCTCAAAAACAGAAATTGATAGATGACTCTATATAAATAAAGTCTATTAATTTGGAAATGAAATAATATGATGGAAGATCCCAAATTTCAGCACTTGCTTTATAAAGATTTAGCTTGAACAACTCAGAGAACAGGTGTTACCAACAACCTATCAAAAGGAAAAATAATAATAACGTATTTATTCCTATTACATCCAAATTATATATTCATAGAAATATAATTTTAAGCATTACAATATTCTGATAAAATCTCACAAAAGGGGGAAAAAGACTAGATTCATCCCTGGTTAATTAAATAATTTGACTTTCTGAAATTGCTGCCTATAACTTAATCAAATGCTAACACGTTTCAGTTATGACCATTTTGGTTTTATAGGTGTTGAACTCAAAATATTCTCATGTTTTTCCAACAGTTACCTCATACCAAACCACATTACCATGCTCAGTATCATTTTGAATTTTTTTCCGATTTTGTTTTTATTTCAGCCATCCTTTGCTGCTCCTTGTTGTACTCCTTATTCTTGTACTCTGATCATCTGCACAAATGCTGACTTTGTTTAAATGACATGTACACTCAGCTTACCTCTACCACCATTGTAACCATCAAATAAGATATTTTTAAGGGAAGCTTATTAGTTATCTATTGCCACATATGAACATGCGCAAACTTGGTGTATTAGTAAGTACTTAGTGTACTTAGTGTATGCTGCTGATAAAGACATACCTGAGACTGGGCAATTTACAAAGGAAAAAGGTTTAATGGAGAACTCATAGTTCCTTGTGGCTGGGGATGGCTCACAATCATGGCAGAAGGGGAAAGGTATGTCTTACATGGCAGCAGACAAGAGAAGAGAGCTTGTGCAGGGAAACTCCCCCTTATATAATCATCAGATCTCATAAGACTTATTCACTATCACGAGAACAGCACAGGAAAGATCTGCCCCTATGATTTGATTACCTCACACCAGGTCCCTCCCACAACAGGTGGGAATTCAATATGAGATTTGCTGGGCACACAGCCAAACCATATCAGTGAGCAACAATAAACATTCTATTATGTTCAAAGGAATTCTGTGAGGCCATAGTGGGGATGGTTTTTCTCTGCTACACAAACTCAGGAGACTAGGTGGGATGGGAGTGGGAGAGGAAAGGGATGACTTAAATATCTGAGGGCAAGGGTCAGATGTATGATGCTTTTCACATGTCTGGCATTGGACTTGAGTGTCCCAGAGAACGTGCACTTGGGTCAATCTCAGCACAGTAGACTCAGAGTACTTTGATGTTTTACGTGGTAGCTCAGGGTTCCAAGAGTCGGTAGTCTAGCAAGCAGGGTGGAAGCTGCATGGCATCAGTGACCTGCTCTTGGGGTCCCTGCAGGTGCATTCAGTAATTACAAGCAAGTCATTTAGACCAGGGAGAAGATGTAAAGAGTGTCAAAAATCTATGATCATCTTTGCAACTGTCACAGAATGTAATAAGCTAAGGAGGTGCCAGGAAAAAAAATTATGAATAAAAATAAAGAGCTAGGAAAATAGGTAAAATGGTAACAGTGGTTTAGATTGTCTTTCAAATAAGTAGAAAGTTTTTTCTAAATGTGCTGTTTCACATTTAAAAAATAACAACTCTGGAGTCCTAAAATTGTCACTCAAAATAACGTGCTGCATATATTTAAAAAATGTATTTTATAAAATATTTTCAATATATATGTGAGTATATATAGTGATAAAGTAAAAAACCATGTTCACAACAGTCAGCCTTTTGAAATCTTAACATATTTTTTGTGTTGTTTTCAGAGACTTTTTAAAAAAACACTACAATAGAGTAGATAGAGCCAAAGCACTCTGCACAATGCCTCTTGATCCCATTTGTCTTCTTACCTCCCATTAACAACTACAATTAATTTGGAGTCCATTATTACATATTTTAAAATTGTGTTATTACACATATATACATCTATAGAAAGGAAATAGTAATTAATGTTTCGTAATTTTTATTGATACAGAATAGTTGTAAATATTCTTGGCATACATATAATATTTCAATACATGTGTACAATGTGTAAAACCAGAGTAATTTGCATATTCACCACTTCAAACATTTATTATTTATTTGTATTAGAAAATTCCCAATCTTGTCTTCTACCTACTTTAAAATATGTAATAAGTTATTGTTAACTCCAGTCATCCTAAAGTGCTATTGAACACTAGAATTCATACTTTCTACTTAAACTGTATTTTAATACTCATTAACTATCTTCTTTTCACACAACCCCAACCTCACCCTTCCCCGCCTTTGGTCACCATCACTCTACTTATTACTTCCATAAGATCAAATTTTTTAGATTCCAAATATGAGTGAGAATATGTGATATTTTATTTTTCTCTGCCTGGTTTATTTCACTTAACTCAATGTCCTCCAGTTCCATCCATGTTGCTGCAAATGTTAGGATTTCATTCTTTCTTATGGCTAAAGAATATTCCATTGCAAACATATACCATATTTTTAATCCATTCATTTGTTGGTAAACATTTAGGTTGATTCTATATCTTGAATATTGTGAATATTGTGCAATAAATGTGGATGTGCGGATATCTCTTTTATATACTGATTTCCTTCCTTTTGGATATATACTCAGTAGTGAGATTGTGGGAACATAAGGCAACTCTATTTTGAGTTTTTTGAGCTGCCTCAATAGTGTTTTCCATAGTTTCTATGCTGATTCACATTTCCACCAGTAGTACAAGCATTCCCCTTTCTCCACATTCTCACCAGCATCTATTATTTTCCATCTTTTTGATAACAGCTATTTTAACTGAGACTAGATGGTATGTCAGTGTGGTTTTGAATTGCAGTTTGTTAATGATTAGGGATGTTAAACATGTTTATACAACTGTTGGCCATTTGTATGTTTTCTTTTGAGAAATGTTTATTCACATATTTTGCCCATTTTTAAATCAGATTTTTTTTGCTATTGTTTGGCTTATTTATATATTTTAGTTATTAATCCCTTGTCCTTGTTTGCAGATGACATAATCTTATATTTAAGAACACACAAAGCTTCTACCAAAAAGCTCTTATAACTGATAAATGAATTCAATAAATTTCCAGGATACAGAATCGATATATACAAATAAGTAGCATTTCTATATGGCAACAATGAACAATCTGAAATAGAAATCAAGAAAGCAATTCTGTTCACATAACTTCAAAAAATACCTAAGAATAAATTTACCCAAAGAAGTGAAGATTTCTACAATTAAAACTATAAAACATTGATGCAAGATATTAAAGAGGACACAAAATAAGTGAAAAGATAGTCCATGTTCATGGTTTGGGAAAATTAATGTTGTTAAAAATGTTAATCCTACCCAAACTGATCTGAAGATTTAATGCAATTCCTCTCAAAATACCAATGATCTTCTTCACGAAAGTAGAATAAACAATCCTAAAATTCTCTTGGAGTCACAAAAGACCTCAAATAGCCAAAATAATCTTGAACACAAAGATAAAGCTGGAAGCATCACACTACCTGACTTCAAAATATACTATAAAACTCTGGTAACCAAAACACCATGGAACTAGCATAAAACAGATACATAGACCAATGCAACAAAACAGGGAACCCAGAAATAAATCCCGCATTTACAACCAACACATTTTCAACAAAGACACCAAGAACACACATTGAAGAAAGGGCAGTTTTTTCAATAAATTGTGCTGTTCATCTACAGAGCAAATAAACTAGATTCCTATATCTCATCATATACAAAAATTAAAGCCAAAATGTATTAAAGACTTAAATGTAAGACCTGAAGCTAGAAAACTACAAGAAGAAAACTTTGGGGAAATGCTTTAGAACATTTGTCCAGGCAAAGCCATTGAAGTAAGAGCTGAAAAGCACAGGCAACATAAGCAAAAATTGACCAATGGATTATATCAAGGAAAAACACAGCAAAGGAAACAATCAACCAAGTGAAGAGACAACCTACAGAATGGGAGAAAAATATTTACTGGATAGTTTTTGGAACTTCACATTCACAGAATAATGTTGAACACTTACTTGGTACCAAAACACTGTTCTAAACAGTTTGCATTTTAATTTAGGTAAATATTACCGTCCTATGAATAAAAAATATTTCCACACACACACTGCCATTATACAGATGATAAAAACAAGTTAAGCAGAGACATTTGCAATGGATTGTAAAGGTCTGAGATGTCACCCCACTTGCAAGCTCACTAGTTAGTCTACCAAAGATTCACCTGTAGAAGACATAAGACTTCTAGGTTAGACAAAGGACCATTTTTTTCTTATAGCAATAACAGTAGCCATAGTATCAGCATTTATTGCAGTGACTCCCCAAAACCCAATTCCCATGAGAAGGGTCATGCAATGTCAGCATGTGCAGTGGGCTGCAGGATAGAAGAGGAACATTGAGCTTCAAGAACCTTTAATAATAGGCTAAAAGTGTGCCTGCCCTGCCCTTTGTTCCAGAGGGAGACATTGTATCTTCAAAGACTGTTTACTAAATATCCTCAAAAATTCTGAATGAAGAGTACTTAGTGCTCTACTCACAGGACATGCAGAAATGCAGGAGACACATAGAGCATTGTCTCATAGCAAGATAAGTAGCTTGCTCAAAGCATATAAAGCTAAGGGGTATAACAGTTTTGAAACAGAAAAGGACTAATTCTAGAACACATGCTTTTGAATATATACTATATTATTCAAACTTCTCATGGGGAAGTAAGAATTTCTCTTGTTTCTCATAATACTGGCCAAGATGCCCAGGTCTTTTTTCTGATAGGTGTGAAATGATACCTGATTAGTAAAATTAGTAATAAATTTCAGCATAATACATTTATTGACTATTTGTTTTTCTTTACTGTTAACTGTCTAATTATAATATTTGCAATGTATGATTTACCTTTTGTTTTTTTCTTAATCGACTCAGAAATTTTTTCAAGTTCTCAATTGCAAACCTAGTTTTTGTGATTTTTGGAAATGTGTCTTCCTGTCTGTAGCTTGTCCTTTATTTATAAGCACAAATATATGTAAATTATGTCATTATAAGCAAAGTAATCAATATTTTAATAATTTGTGCTTGCTTTTTAAATAAAAAATCATTTTAAAGAAATATTTTGTTTTCTCAAATCAACAAGTCTATTTTTTTAGATATTTCTTCTAAATATTTTAAAGTATTGCTTTTCAAATTTAGGTCTCTAGTTCTCAATGTTCTGGTACGGTATACATCAAGATGCCTAAATGCTTACTTTAAAATAATTATAAATTTTAAATAACGTGAGTGAAAAATTTCTGTTAGCAGATATCAGTTATGACTCAAAAAAAAAGACAAAAAAAAGAAGAAAAAGGAACTATAGAATAACCTGTTAGCTCAAGGAGAGAATCTAAATCCTTTTACATGTGTTTGTGAGCTCTTTAAGACTTACATCCCAGGAGAGTAAAAAGCCTGATTACATAATAAGAAGTGGCCAGAAAGCTAGATAAAAATAAATAGCTATAACATAGGTTTATGTGACTTTGGCAATTTTTTAAAACAACAAAAAAAGAAGCCAAATCATTCGAAAATACATTCAAACTCAAAATAATGTGTGAGTTATCATGTGATATAGAGTATAAATATCACAGTTTTCTGTACTCATTCCATTTGATCTTTTCATCAAAAGAAATTAATAATTAACAATTATGTGCCTAAAAATCATAATTTAAGTCAAATAAGTTCATGCTTTATACTATTTTCTAAGAGTAAGGTATTCATCTATCACCAAATCTTTTCAGTTATTTTTCTTTATAAATTTATCAGCCAGAAAATACAATGTTGCATATACTAACCATTTTATTTGCATTTCATAAATGCAAACTATTCTTTTTATTCTTATGAGGTAATTATCTACATTGAATTCCAGTGGTTATAAAACAGCAAATATTAATTATGGATAGATTTGGCCATATGTGACATACTTTTATCCCTGCAAGTTTTTTTCTCATATAATGTTAACTGTAGTTTTTATTTTTCAGAAGGAAAGAAATAATGACCATAATATTAAAATTACCCACAATTATTTTATAATATTTTAGGAGCTTCATCTTTTCAATTTAAGCATAGTATTAACAGTATAAAGCCCTATTATTTTAAATCTATAAAAATGGACAAATAACAGTTTACATTTACCTAGTGGGAATAAAGTAATTTTAGTATTTATTTCATGTTTATATATATATATTTATTTTATACAAACATTTATATTATTTCAATATAAATGTATATAAGTACATTATATAAATATACAAATTATAATGATTGCATATAAACACTATACAAAACTGTAAAATTGGTAATATTAGTAGGAAAAATGTATTTGGACTGAGAAATATATGTTGATTATGATTTATCATCTGTCATATATTTCCACATATTCCGTTTACTTTATTGCATAACAGGAAGGTTATAAAACACATGCTGTTTAAATTTATTTGTGAAAATAAAAGATCCTGTAAAAAAAGTTAAAATTTGAATATAAGAAATAAAGGAACATTTAAATAATGTAGGGATATAATATACAATGTTAATATGATGTAACATGGAAAAAATGACAATTGCCTCAAGTTTATCTACAGATTCAATACATCTCAATCACAATTTCAGCTGGAATGTGTATTGCTCATTGAAAAATACAAGTAAAAAGACAAAAAATTTCAATAGAGAGCTAATCCAGCTTAAATAAAGGAGAATTACAGAGACAAATTCTTTATACCAGATAATTAGCCATAATGCCAAGTCCAAGTAATGGAGATAGTGTGGAATCGCCTCTTGAGGAAACAAATGGAATAAAACATAGAGTTCTGATATGTAGTTGACATATTTGAAATTATAGTAACAATGATAACAAAAAGCAATGGAAATCACAGATTGCTTGGTAGATTGATATTGGGAGAATTAGCATACTAAAGGCAATTATTCTTTAATATAAATACATACAAAAGTGGGCTTTACGTGCATTAAAATGTATAAAATTTTTCTAGAAATAAAAAATGGTAAAAGAACCAGATTTAGGAATAGGATAGATTTATTCAAAAAGGTCTCAAATGCACAAAATCTGGGAACATAAAAAGAAGGATTTGACTATAGCAAAATTAGAGCCTGTTCTATTCAATCACAAAGTGAAAAAAATAGATAAAATAAAAGAAAATATTTCCAAGTTATGAGATTAATTCTACAAAATAGATAGTTGGTATTAATATGTACCAAAAACTTCTCAAAATATGGAAGATAATTATAGAAAATTCAGTATAAGGATAAAAGAAGATGAACAGCAATTTCATGGAAGTATCAACATGAAAGTAAAGAAATGCTGAATCTCCCCATCATCATTAAATATTGTGTTGTTAAATGAGAAAATTAAACA
This sequence comes from Homo sapiens, assembly GCF_000001405.40. NCBI lineage: Eukaryota > Metazoa > Chordata > Mammalia > Primates > Hominidae > Homo > Homo sapiens. The sequence goes on along the minus strand of NC_000003.12, from coordinate 162,178,788 downwards.
TCAAAAAAGTATTTTATTTCTATATAGTAGAAAAGTAATATTACCTAGTAGTGTTGGCAATAATATGGTTAGTCAAGAATTCCTGTGTAGTAATTGAGGGTGTACATTGATGCAGCTATTCTGCAAGACAATCTGGAACTGAGTATACGTGCATCCTAAGATTTGGAGGTATGTATTATGAGTATACAACCCCCCAAAATTCTCAGTAATACTGGGATGGAAACTGTGCTGCTAGAATTTACCTCAACAGGTGTAGATTTTTTGGCCAGTGATGCTTTACTGAGTTTCCTTCATGGCATTGACCCTTACTCAAGGCATGAAACATATTGCTTAATAGCATTGCTTTGTAACTGTGAGTCTGAGAAGATCTGGGGTAATCTGTAGCAGTTTGCCAGCATTATTATTGATAGTAGTGAGACTTAATGACTCGGATGTGGTCTCAGCAGTGAATGCTGCCCTGCCCCTCCCTCCACCCTACTTTCCCCCAGAGTTCTATGGTTGAAGCTGGTTAGATAGAGTTCCTATTCATGTTTATTGGTGAGAATATAATATCAAGGTTTATATTTTTGTTTGTTTTAAAGAAGAGTTTATGAATAATATTCCATGAGTTTGTATGACTTGCACACTATGTCTCTTGCCAAGAACTTTGTAGAATTTATACCACTGTCTTCTCCCATTGAATGTTGCTATAGAGATGTAACTTTCCTACATGTAATGTGAGTTTTGGCCCTGATGCCCCCATAGAATTTTTTTTTCAGTTTCAAGGAAGTATCCTTTCCAACAGAGTTCTTTAATATCCAGAAAGATAAATAAAATACCCAACAATGTTGAATGTGCCTGGTCAACTCCTTATAAGACTTATTATGAGGAACGTTGTCCTCTATAACCTTTAATACACATTCCAACCTTTTCTTCAGGAAACTTCAATTTTATTTACTTTGAATCTCCTTTTTCTTCCGTATCTATTACTCTTCCCCCATTTACTTTGCTTGATTTTCTCGTATCCATACTAAATGTCCCTGTTTTTAGCATTGTCCATTCTTTAGTCAGATTCTAAAGTGACATTATAACTCTTATATTTCCACGTATTCGGACATATTCCAGCTGGCATTTCATCTGTTTCCATGCCTTATCACCTCTTCCTTTATTCCACGTCACCAGGAATGATGTCTCCTTTAAGCTCCAGAAAACATAAGGGTCCATTTTGATTGGCTGGTGCCCATTCTGATTAGTCAGTGTTCCTGTAAAACTCCATTGTTAACCCTTGACCATCCTTCTCATCTGCATTGTTATAAAATTATTATCATGCATGCTTTTTATCTCTGTTTTAGTTGTCTTGTTCATTTTGTTTTTGACTCATCTTTACATATCTTTCCTTAAGTCCCCTGCTAATTTTGTGGTTGTTGCTCTTTTTCTCATTTTTTTTGTAATTAAAGTTTTATTGGAACACAGCATAATTAGTCCTTTAAAACTGTCTATGACTGCTTTATTTTTTAATTTAATTTCTGGTGTACATGTGCCAGATGTGGAGGTTTGTTACATAGGTAAATGTGTGCCATGGTGGTTTGGTGCACATATCAACCCACCACCTAGGTATTAAGCCCAGCATGCATTAGCTATTTATTTTTCCTGATGCTCTCCCTCCCCCAACCCCCAGCCCAGACAGACCCTAGTGTGTGTTGCTCCCCTCCCTGGATCCATGTGTTATCACTATTCGGCTCCCACTTATAAGTGAGAACATGCGGTGTTTGGTTTTCTCTCCCTGTGTTAGTTTGCTGAGGATAATGGTTTCCAGTTCCATCCACATCCCTGCAAAGGACATCATCTCATTCCTTCTTCATTTTTTAATGCAGTTTTTTTGTTCTTTTTAAGCCATTTTCTCAATGAAAGTATGGACAGAGGGTACAAGAGAGTGATTTGAGTCAGCAAGCCGCTCAGATTTCAGCCTCTTTCCTTTGAACACATGCTAACTCTCATTCAGTGTCATGTGTGGGTCACTGTATCAGGCCACTTGTAAGTTGACCTGGTGAGCAATGAGATCCTTTACATCAAAGTCCTATGTATCATAATCTAGTATTTACTCTCACTTAGATGACAAAAACTCAGTAGCATAGCTTTTACCTTGTCAAGTTGATAAGGAAGTGTGTTTCCTTCTTCTATCAATCCTTCCCTTCTTTCTGTGATAGGCAGTTGTTACCTGAGAAACTCAAACAATATATTTACTTACCACGGAAGATGGAAAGATAATTTCGATCTGTCCATATTGCTTATTATTTATCATATTATATTTAATTTTGTTTTTAATGCCAAGAAGCATTTTCTGTGTAGGAGGAGTAATGTTTCTGTTAGTGATATCTGTTTTTACTACCTGTTTAGCATGATTTTCCCTTCTCCTGAAGGTGTTATGAGTTGAATTGTGTCCACCAAAAAAATATGTTGAAGTCCTAAGCCATTGTACTTATGAAGGTGATCTTATTTGGAAATTGGGTCTTTGCAGGTGAATTCAAGTTAAGATGAGGTCATATTGAATTAGGATAGGCACAAATCCAATAGAAACGGTGCCCTTATAAGAAAAGGAGAAGAGACAGAATGAGACACACTGAAGGGACACCATGTGACAACAGAGACAGAAATTAGAGTGATGCATCTACAAAACAGGAATGCCAAGGACTGCCAGCAACACACGAAGCTAAGACAAAGGAAGGGAACAGATTCTTCCCTAGTGTCTTCAGCGACTTCTGGCCTCTAGAACTGTGAGGAAATAAATTACTGTTGTTTTAAGCCATCCTGTTTGCTGTTTATTGCAGCTCCTAGGAATCTAATTCAGAGGGCAACATGATACCTTTGTTTGGAGAACTACCAAGCTGCTATCACATACAGTCAATATTTATGATTTGACAAGGCTGTTTATACTTTGTTTGGCAGTACTTCAGAAATAGGAAATTATTTCATGCATTATTTTATAAATAATGATGTAAAAGGAATTTATATTGTTTATATTGTAAGTTGAAGATAGTATCCAGAATGTCATTTAAAATAAAATGTGTAGAGACACAAACTTGCATTTCATTCATTATTGATAGATCACTTTATATATTATGGCCATTTGTTTATGTAATATTTAAATGAAAATTGGGCTGAATATCCCTTTATCTTAGAGTATTTTTTTTTCTTAAACAGAGAATATGTTATTACAGAAATCCATTCCAACCAAGGGGAATTTGAAGGAAGGATACAGGAATTTCGCTTAGAATGCAAGAACAGTGAGTAAATCTCAACCTTGATAGAAAGATACCTGGGAGACAAACATCCACACCAGTAATCACATCATAAACTTTCTCTTGCTCTCCCTCTCTTTCTCCCTGGAGTTAAATGATCTGTCATTTCTTCTTTTCTCTATTTACCTTCTTTGTTTTTGCATATTAGCGTTCTCAGCTGATTCAGCAATTTGCACACTGTCCATCATGGCCACCCTAAATTGCCATCTCAGCTCCTGAGTCTATTTGACCTTACGGGCCTTGTGCGCAGAACTTAGAACTTAGTGTATGCCCTAAATAAAAGATCTTGGTAGAATAAAACTATATCTGGCTTAAGTTAAACACTGATCTCTAAATTTATAAACTATGAACTCAAAGGATTGAGTTTACATAGTTCATAGGGCTACAAACTCAAAAGTTATAGAAAAGGCAGGGTCTTTAAGTAAGGGATGTGAGAACAATGAAGAAATTTTCAGTATTTCTAACTCAAAATCTTAAAGCTCTATGAATTTCAAATTGTCATTGCTTTATTAAAAGCTATTAAGATAGACTTATTCTACTTTATTTTTAAAATTTATTTAATTTTAAATTGGATTAAAGTATTAATATCTAGAAAATGCTTTATAACCATTTGAAATGATAACTATGGATACAGTGAGATAAGTAAATGAGTTTTGAAATGGGAAAACCTGGAGATGAAGCACCCCTGCCACTACCTATTCACATCATCCTGGGTAAGTCATATAAACTCCCTTACTCTAACATTTTTTATCTGTGAAATGTGAGTAAAACTAATGTGAAGACAAAAAAATAATTGAAGGGATAGGGCCTCAAAAACTGGAAAGTGATGTAAAATAAATGCTGAAATTAATGCCATATTACCTTGTTGTAACCCCAATAACGGCTTACATAGAGCTCTGTAGTTGGTACATGGAAAGTGCATGGTTATCAAGTGTCCATTGACAAACATCCATTTGTATTAGAACTTTATTTTTTAATACTCTCATATACTGACCAGGCATGGTGGCTCTTGCCTGTAATCCCAGCACTTTGGAAGGCCAAGCCGGGCGGATCACAAGGTCAGGAGATCCAGACCATCCTGGCTAACACGGTGAAACCCTGTCTCTACTAAAAAAAATACAAAAAAATTAGCCGGGTATGGTGGTGGGCGCCTGTAGTCCCAGCTACTCGGGAGGCTGAGGCAGGAGAATGGCGTGAACCCGGGAGGTGGAGCTTGCAGTGAGTCAAGATCACGCCACTGCACTCCAGCCTGGGTGAAAGAGCAAGACCCTGCCTCAAAAAAAAAAAATACTCTCATATACTGAATTAGATATGTTTCTTTTACTTGCATGTATCAAAAAATAATTATTGCTTGAATAAACAAGAAATTTAATGGAAAGATACTAAATTAAATTACAGGATCCAAGTCCCAACCAACTATCATGAGGGGCAGAATCTAAGCTAGTGCTAGGGACCTTGGCAAGTTCAAATAATATCCACTAGACAATATAGGTGAAAAAGCCACAATCACATCTCTTCTCAGTGCCACTAAGTTGAAATAGATCCAAATTATGCAAAAGGAACTGGGAATTAACCCATCTTGGTTAATATAGGTAACTCTGAGTCTGTTATGGTTGCATAGCAAAAATATAGTTCTTGGGGCCCAACCTTGGTATTGGTAGGAGTCAAGCCTGGCATGGTGGCATGCCTATAGCTCTAGCTGCTCAGAAGGCTGAAAAAGAGGATTGTTTGACCGCAGGAGTTCAAGGCTGTAGTGCACTATATGGCTGTGAATAGTCACTGCACTCCAGCCTGGACAACATAGTGAGAACTCATCTACAAATAAATAAGTAAAACTGGAGTCAATGGAGTCAGTCCTCTCAAACTGTGCTGCTACTTTATCAAGCATGTTTATCTAATGTTCTATATTATTTGTTGTTAATTCACATTCACAGCATGTCAGACATCAGGAGTAGATTCTGTTTTTTTTTTTTTTAAAAGAGCACTTTCTTTGCTCATCTATAACAAGAAACTCCTCATCTATTCAAGTTTGGTTATAAGATTGCAATAATTTAGTCACATCTTCAGGTTCCACTTAAAATTCTAATTCTCTTGCTCTTTCTAACATATCTGCAGTGACTTATCCTATCTACTAAAGTCTTGAAACCCTCAAAATCACCTATGAGAGTTAGAATCAACTTCTTCCAAACTCTTGTTCAGGTTAATATTTCAACCTCCTCCCATGAGTCATAAATGTTCTTCATGGTATTTAAAATGGTGAATCCTTTCTAGAAGATTTTCATTGTACTTTGTCCAGATCCATCAAAGGAATCGCTATGTATGGCAGCTATAGCCTTGCAAAACTTTTTGTAATAATGAGACTTGAAAGTCTAAATTACTTCTTGATCCATGGGCTGCAGAATGAATATTGTATTAGCAGATATAAAAACAACATCAATCTCCTTGTACTTCTCCATGAGAGCGCTTGAGTGACCAGGTGCATTCTTAATATGCAGTAACATTTTGAAAAGAATATGTTTTTTGGAGCAGTAGGTCTCAACAGTGGGCTTAAAATATTAAATAAATCATGCTGTAAAGAGATGTGTTGTCATCCAGGCATTGCTGTTCCATTTATAGAGCACGTGTAGAGTATCATAATGCTTAAGGGTCTTAGTGTTTTGGAGATAGTAAATGAACATCAGCTTCATTTTAAAACCACCAGCTGCATTAGTCAGTAACAAAAGAGTCAGCCTGCCCTTTGAAGTTTTGAAGCTAGGCACTGATTTCTCCTCTCTAGCTATGAACATCCTAGATGGCATCTTCATCCAAAAGAAGGCTCTTTCTTCTACTGTGAAAATCTGTTGTTCAGTTCAGCTACTTTCATCAATTAACTTCTTATTCTGATCTTCTAGATAACTTGCTATAGCTTCTACATCAGCACTTGCTGCTTCACCTGGCACTTTTATGTTATGGAGATTGCTTCCTTCCTCAAACATCATGAACCAACCTCTGTTAGATTCAAACTTCTGTTATGCAGCTTCCTTAACTCTCTTAGCCTTCGTAGAATTGAAGAGGCTTCAGAACTTGCCAGGATTAAGCTTTGGATTAACAGAGGATTGTGGCTGGTTTGTTCTCCTATCCAAACTGCTAGAACTTTCTCCATAGCAGCAATAAGACTGTTTCATTTTCTTATCACTTGTGTACCACTTTTAATTATATTTGAGAACTTTTTTTTCTTTGCACTCACAGCTTGACTAACTCTTTGGCACAAGAGTCTTAGCTTTCAGCCTGTCTTGACTTTTGATATGCCTTCTTCACTAAGCTTAATCATTGCTACCTTTTTATTTAAAGTGAAAGATGTGTGACTCATGCTTTTACAAGAACACTTAGAGGCCATTGTAGAGTTATTAGTTGGCAAATTTCAATATTGTTGTATCTTGGAGAATAGGGAGGCCCGAGGAAAGGGAGAGAAATGAGAGAATGGACAGTGAGCAGAGCAACTGAAAAACACATAACACTTATCACTTAACTTCACTGCCTTATATGGGCCTGATTCATGGTGGCCCAAAACAATTAGAGTAGTAGAACATTGATTACAAGCCATCATAAAAGATATAATAATAATGACAAAGTTTGAAATGTTGAGAATTACCAAAATGTGACACAGAGACGTAAAATCAGCATATGTTTTTGGAAAACTAAGACTGATAGACTTACTTGAAGAAAGGTTGCATCAAACCTTTAATTTGCAAAAAAACCCACTATGTCTCCAAAGCATAATACAGTCAAACAAGTATAAGTAGCTATGCCTATATTCACTTTTTTCTACATTAAGATTGATTGATCATAGGGAATTTGCTTGCATATATATGTTATCAAAACATCATTTTTCTCCGATTCCCTATGTTCTCCCATATCTATACTTCTTTGTATTACTTAATACTGTTGTTTACTTATTGGGCATATTTCTCAGTCTTTGTGTACATACTGCTGTTGCAAGCCAATTTTAAACAGAAAACTAAAGAATAAGAAATGTCTATGAAACCCAAATTCAGGTTCCTAGGAGAGATGCCTATTTAGCCTAACTTGGGCCAGGTATCTATTCAGCTATAGCTGAGAGGCAAGTTACATGGCCAGCTCTCTACTCAGCAGTGCTTTCAGAGTGGTCTTTAAACAGGCCAAGTGCAATGGCTCATGCCTGTAATCTCAGCACTTTGAGAGGCAGGGGAGGGCAGACCACTTGAGTTCAGGAATTCGAGACCAGTCATCGGCATGATGAAACCTGGGCTCTACAAAAAAACACAAAAATTAGCCAGGCATGGTGGTGCACGCCTGTAGTCCCAGCTACTTAGGAAGCTGAGGTGGGAGGATCACTTGGGCCCAGGAGGCAGAGGTTGCAGTGAGCCTAGATGGCGTCACTGCACTCCAGCCTGGGTGAAAGAGTAAGACTCTGCATCAAAAACTAAAAACAAAGAGAGGTGTGTTAAGAGAGGTCAATGATTATTTTTCTTAAAGAAAAGAAAATGAGCTTGACAGGCCACCAAAACATACAGCTGATACACTCATTCATTCAGGAACATCAGAGCAACAATATTTACTGATATTTCCATCTGTATAGCTAATAAGCATGTTAAATTCAGTCTGTCCTAAACTGAGCTCCTCTTAAGCTGTACCTCCAATCTTTTGCATTTCCACTGAATGCATCACTGTTCTCTCAGACCCCCAGACTTAAAATAGTAAAGTCTATTTTGACTCATTTCCTCTATTATCCTACTCATCGTTTCCAGTAGGTTAATAAGTAAGGCCTTTTTACATCTACAGCACCTCCATTCTAGCTGCTCTTTCATTTCCCTAATTCCAGCACTCTTTCCACTGCTTATTCAACCAACATAACACAGTATAACAAAAAGAAAAACACTTTGTCTCTAGCATCCACACTTTAAATTAATTCTATAAACTGTTACTAGAAACAATTATTCCCCAAAGATCAGCCTATAATTCAGAAACCTTTAAAGCTCAGAACCCGCTAAGCTCTAAATTACTAAGTCATTATTTAAAATAATATATGGAATGTGTTCCTATCTGATTTCATTGTCTGATCCTGAGTTTTCCTATGTTATCTTTAAAAGAATTTGTATCCTAATGGTTTGTTAATTCATGTAGGACTTCCTCTAAAGAATTTGAACCTCTTCTCTTTCTTGCTCCCACGGTTTTACATATCATGTTTTTCACTACAGAATACTACCCTGCCATGAGGACTGGCCAGAAATTTATGCAACTTAGGAAAAAAAACTTTCTCTTTCAAAACCTCTGTTCTTCTTTCCATACCATGGGATTCTCTTCTTCATATAAGTAGTCATTGAAAATTTTCTGTACCTCTCCTCTAATACTCATCACATTCTAACATAGGTATATTTTTAATGGTTTTCTTCATGCTTTCATTTCCTGCTATACTGAAAATAAAAAAGCAAGGAAAGAAGGAAGAAAAGAAAGGAGGGAGGAAGGAAATGATTGAAAACTTTTTGAAGAAAGGGACTTTGTCTTAGTCATTAATCCTTTCCTCAAAACCCTCAAAATAATTTACACAATGAGTAAATGTTAGAGAGGGCTCTTATGAGATTAAAATGGTATAGTTGCCAGGGCAGCGCACAGATTGTTTGAACTCCACTTTGGCCCACTGTCATGAGTCCACATGTGTGATGTACAATAGAGAAGCAAGATCTTCCCATTGTCTCCCCATGGAAACCTTGTCTCAAAGTATAAATGCCACTTTCTTCCTCAAAACGAGACCTTTAAGACCATCCTTTCTTCTGATTATTTCTGAGTACCAGAGGAGGCAGAGTGATGAAGAGCCCATAATGATAGGTGCACTGAGAAGACAAGTCAATGTGATGACTGAAGCTTCATGGACACAAAAACAATGAACACAAAAACAAACAAACAAACAAACAAAAAACAGAACCAGGGGCTGACTTGAATTCAAGGTAGCATTTTCAAATGCAAAATAATAGTATATTCATAGACAAAATGCAAGTCAATAATTGTGGCTCAATTGGCACTATTGACTCTGATCAATTGTATTAGTAACTTTTCTTTTCTGTATTTAAGAGCAGGATGAATATTGCATACACAACAAAGAGATGGAGGTACCTGCAGCTTCAGAAGTGCTCTCTTTCCCCCACCCAGAAGACAGATTTTTTCCTCCCATTTCAATAAACATGAATTACTGCAAATTAACTTAGAGTTCCAATTATATAATGCATAATCTTCTAATGGTAATCATCCTATATATCATATAATATATGTGAATAACATGTTAAATTTTTTAAGTATCATGTCTTCTGAGATTTATTTTACCATGGCCTTCAAGAACCTCTGTGATCTAGGCACTTGCTTCCCCAGAAGCTACATTTTTATTAGAAATATAATTGCATATATGAAAAAATCAAAGTTTTCACTGAAATTGAAATGTTAGAAAAATAGTAGTACTGTGAAAGAAAGGGGACTTATGAAATTTACTCCTCTTATAGAGAACTAAAAAATAACACGAAATTATGCCAGAGGTTCACTAAGCTCTTTAAATGTCCTGATTTCCCAAGGCAAGTGGCAGCTTTCAACTTGTCCTATTTATTTTAAGTGTTGTGCAAATTATATGAAAATAGCCGATTGCATAATATATTTTTCTAGTTGTGGTTGAAAAAATAGCACTTACTTAGAAAAATCCCCAGAGATTTTCTTAGATCATTTCTCCATAAGGAGGAATAATTATTCTACTTTGGGTAGATACTGTCTCATGCTCAGGGAATACATGTACAACAAATATGAAATCCTATGAAGAATGGAATAGAAATACTATTTCAGTATATTCAGTAGTAAAGATATTTTCCCTTGAAGTATATGGGGTTTGAAAAAATTATACAGTAACATTTTCTAGAACTTACTTTGGATCCACGATATATTCTGATGGACTACATAAAGTCACATTGCTAATCTGTAAAAGATGATGGTTGAAAGAATTTAGAATTATCTTGTTCAGACATCTGTAGGTTAATACCATTTTGTGATATTAACAAAATAAATAGTGAATATTCATCCACTATTTTACAGTTCAGCAAAATAACAGTTTTATGTACATTATTCATGGCTAAAGGTGCTTCCCAAAGCAATATTACCCTCAGCAAATGTTTTGTTTCCTATACTTATGTGGCCAAAACTTGACACTGAGAAACGTAATAAAGTTATTTTGTTATATTTTAATGCTTGAAATTCTAGTATTTCAAGAGAATTAAAGTGTTCTTGAGGAAATAAAGCTTCTCAACAGGCCTAAAAATAAAGTTTGTTTCAAAAATTTATAAAGGAAAAGTCATAAATAATAGTCAAATGTATGTGAGGTGGCTGGTCAAAAAGAACATGTAAGCTGTCTACAATCATGGATTAAGTTGTTTTGATACAAACCTTTAGTTTTTGAAAACAGCTACCTTCACAAGAATACTAAAATAACCATTATCCAGTGAGGAAGCAACTAGCTCTTAATGGCTACCTAGAGTAGAGGTTGGCATGCAGAAGAAAAATGAAAGGGGATTTTACCATGGAACCGAGCAAACACCCATAGAGTAAATGTCTTCACCTAAAGTTGGGGGTGGGGGTGCTTACAAATAGTAATGAAGCTAAGAGATCATATTTTCCCAACTGTAGTCAAAGAAAATATTCATTCCCAGGAGTACACTTTTATAAGGTCATATTGTGATAGCATTTTAAGAGATGCACTTAGCAGAGGCAGTTAGGAAACTTGTACCTCCAGAATATACACAGACTTCTGAAATAGCAATTAAAAAAAATCAATTCACCACCACCACAACAATAACACTCCCCTAGTCATTCTTGATCAAGAAAACTAAATAAAATTAAAATTAAATATTTAAACACTATTATAATAGAATATATCCTGAAAAAAAGAAAAAGTTGTGGAAGGGTTTCAAAATTATTTTCTTCATCACACTTACTGAACTGCTAAGTGTCAGGCACAGGGGTTACGGCAATAAATAAGACAGACAAAAATCCCTGCCCTCAGACATATTAGAATCTAGGGAACACCAAATTGCACAAATAATTAAGCAATTAATTATTTAACTTACAACTGGAAAACACTCAATGAAGGAGCACACGATGCTTTCAACGTGTATTACAGTGGATACTATTTGTTAAAATTATTCTGGGAAGTTCTGCAAAAAAGTTTTTAAGGCATCCCACCACCTCTGACTACTTAACTGGCACCTGTCCTCACTGACCATCTTGAAATGACAGTATTTAGTGTTTTGGCTTCACTGCGATGGTGAGTGTGTGTGAGTGAGCAGAGGGGGTTGCTGTTCTTCTATACAAGAGGAAATAATTCATCTTGTCCTTTATACGAATATCAAATTGAGGAGTCCAGATATCACATATACTAGAGAAGACTACTATCTGTCTTGTGTCTTTCTGTTAGTTTATTGTGAGCTGTCTCTATTTCCTGATACTTCTCTATGACCATATTTTCTCCAACCAATAGTCATCACTTATTGGGTAGTATTCATCATCATCTAATTTAATCCTTACAAAATTCTTAGTGACTTAGATGTTACTATTGGTACATTAAGATAAGGAAATCAAGAATCAGAGGAGTTAAGTCAAAGAAACCACTATGCAAGATGAGTAACTACTTTGTATCTGTTAGTAGAAAATATATCCTGAGGTATGCTGACTTGGAACCAAGCTGAGAAAAGTAGAAAATAGATAGACTTTGTCCTTCTTTGTCTATTGCAATCTGGACGTCGTAATTTTAGTTTAGGTCTTATGAATGAATCAGAGATTTCCTGTGTAAACATCCAGTTGGGTAAGAGATTGGGGTAAGTGAATTACTTTTAGGCTTTTTTTGAGCTTGGGATGAAGGTTCTTCTTCAAGGGTTATAAGATATCCTAAGGAGACCAACGTCCACTGGAAAGCAGATGTACAGAGGAGTAGAATTCCCAACCCAGGATGCCAGTTTTATTACTATATCACTGATGAGAGAGAAAACAATGACACATTTTGAGTGTTTTTATTTGGATTTTCCATATTTTCTTGACTACCTAGAATCTGATTTAGTCAACTTTACAATAAAATAGAAATAACTACTTTCACAGTGTTGGTTTATACATTATAAACTAATGTTTTAGTTGGCATTGCAGTACCCCAAGCTAAAGGGATCCACTCAGCTTTTAAGGAGGCATTCTTCACACAGGTGGATTCAATTTCCTTTTGGTATGTCAGCATTGGTGCCCAGCTCAGGCTGTCCAGCTGAGTAGAATGACATTCCTGTTCAGGTATGCCATGCATACAGTGGTTCTCAAGGAAGGCTGCAAATATTCATCATACACATAACAGATACACATGCCTTGTTCTCACCTTCAGATATTGTTATTTATTTGATTCATGTGCAGCTCAAACATTGGTTTTTGACACTTGAAGCCACTTCTCAAGGCGATTCTAATATAGCCAGAGTTAATTATCAATGAGCTCAACTGGCAAGCTAAAAATAGTAATTTCACCAAAGTGGAATCTAAATAACCCAAAGACAACAAGAAAGAAAGCATTCTGATGCTGCGTTGTGGCTACAGTGGAGTTGATGCTGGTGGTTTTGAGTGTGTGTGTGTGAGAGTAAGTGTGAGTGTGTGTGAGTGAGAGTGTGTGTGTGTGTGTGTGTTTGGGAAGAAGCAGCTTAAAGACACATAACTGCACTGGCTGTGGAGAGATTCGATTTTTATTCCACACTAAGTGGGTAAAGATTATTGGAAATGCATTTCTATGAGGAAACCAGAAATTTTGAATTAAATAAGTCTAGTGGTTAAGGTAAGGCAAATATACAAAGGGCAGTTTACTAAATGTCAATATAAAACTTAAAATGCCAATGGGGCACAAGAGTAGACAGCTTCAGTTTGAGGAAAGGACATAAAAAGCTGTCTGATTAGACTGATACTTTTACTTTCTCTTCTGCTCTGTTAGCATGCTCTCTCACAACAAAGATTTACTGACTAATCAAGTTACATATAACATTATTTAAATGGCATATCTTTTTTCAACAACTGTTGAAAAAATACAAGGATTTTCTTGTTCTTTTCTCAATGCTTGATTGTGAATATTTATGCTAGTAAATTATCAAGGAGAGGTAAGACAGAATAATAAAATTTTTCTCAGCTTACCAAAAACCTAGGGTCACAGTTGTGAGAAAATATAAGCTGAGATATTGGCATATTCTTTGTCTTTTGTTTTTTAGTTCACTTTGCATGTGACTCTATACTGAGGAGACTTTGTTTGCTCTTTGGCCAGAGTATTTGACCTCACACAATGCAGATTTTCCACAGCTACAATTTGAACTTAGTGCAGATTTTTTTCCTTTGAGTAATTTAAGCTCTAGAATAATATTCACTTTCCATCCCATGATCATTCATACATTATTTTTATTTAAATCACTTTCTTTATTATTGTCTAAAGCATAAGATCAGATAGGATAAGGGGGTTAGTGTAAATAAAATGATGTTTACGAAACTGGTTACATTATCATTGATGCAAGCAAACTCGAAATATATGCATTAAGATTCTATTACATGCCAGGTATTATGTTGGATAAGTGGTTCTGAAGCTTTAGCATGCATCAGAATCACCTGGAAAGTTTGTTAATACATGAATCACTGTGCCCCACTCCCACAGTTTCTGAGTCAATAGGTCTGAGGTGGGCTTAAGAATTTGCTTAAAATACAATGCAATGGTTGCTACTGCAGATCTCTTCTCTGCTCCATGTTCAGGGGTGTCCTTTTGATAGGCTGAAATAAGCCGTGGTGGGAGCATTTAAACTACAGAAATCTACAAATGCTACAAATCAGAGATTCCCCCCTTCCATTCTCCTTCCCATAGGAGCTAGTTTTTAAACATTTACCAGCAGACCATTGGGACAGACATTGACATTTTTAAAGCCCACATGTGATTCGCATGTTGAATTCAGTTAAGAATGATCTAGAGGGAAAGTTCTGGGAGGGAAGACAAATATATGATACTTAGTGTGGTAATATATAATATGATTTATAATGCAGGAACAGGAGTGTGGATGATTGATTCTCTTCTGTGGAAATTTGGAAATAACTAATGGAGGAAGTTCAGTCTGAGCTAGAATTTTAATGCAATATAGGACTTAAATTGCAAATGCAGCAAAGAGTATTTGTCAAGAAAGAAGGCATTCCTGCCAAGACCAGTGAAAAACAAGAGGACATGTTTGGGGAGCATATTAATTTTGGATTAATCATCAAATCCAATAAGCATTATTGAAATTACAATATTTGCTGATTATCTTCCCTACTGGACTATAGGCTCCATGAGGACAGAGACTTTGCCTGCCATGACATAGAAGCTTCTAATATAATATCTGGTACATAGTACATGCACAAAAATTATTGTGTATGAACGATGTGCCTCCAAAAAAGCTGAAAATGAAGTAAATGGGATACATTATTCACAGTGACTGGGTATAAAATATGGAATTAGTCCTTAATTTTCTCAACGGGGCAAGAAAATCTACAGTACTGTATAAAAAAATGGCAGTGATCTACAGGTATGTGAGAAGGAACAATAATTTGTGGAGAAAATACTAGAAGGACAACAATTTGTGGAGAAAGGATTCAAAGTTTAAGTTTAAAGACACTATAAAATCTGGCAATTTGTATTTTAAAAAGTTTGTGAATACTAATTAAATGATTCATTTCACTTTTTAAAAATTTTGAAATATTAATTGGCACCTAAACTGTATAAATATTAATTGGCACCTAAACTGTATAAATACAGTTATTAGAGATAGGCATCAGTAATACAGATTGAGAAAATTACGACTGTTATTTGAGCTATGATGATTAGGAAGTTAGTTCCCTTCTTTTAACTCACCAAGAAATATCTTAAATATATAACCTACTTACATCAAGCACAGTCAAAAATGGTTAATTAAAAAAAAGATTGGTTTTTGCTTGTTTAGAAATTTGTCTAATGCAATCGGGAAATTCTATTTTGAGTTTGTAGACATTAACTCATATAATATACAGAAAGGCTTCAAAATCCAAAGACAATATTCAAGTAAACTATAGCACATTACCCAGGAAGAATCCTTAAAACTATTTATTTAAGATTACATCTTTTCTAAAATAAAGATAGTGAGCTTTAGTCCAAAGAATCATCTACTGTCAGGGAGTTATACATGTATAGAGTTCCAGTGATTGTTTTAGAAAATAAATTAGAGAAAGATAGCTAGAAAATGCAAAATACTTAGAGACTAAGCAACAAACTGATAAATACACCGGTCAAAAAAGAAATCTCAAGAACAATTTAAATATACTTCGAACTAAATTAAAACATCAAAATTTGTGAGGTACTGTGAAAGCAGTGCTTAGAGGAAAATTCATAGCATTGAATGCATATATTAGAAAAGAAGAAACATCTAAAATTAATGATCTAAGCTTTCACCCTAGGAAACTGAGGGTGGGAGAGTGGAAGAGAGAGAGAGAGAGAAAGAAAGTAAGCAGAAAGAAAAAAATAAAAATAAAAATTACAGCAGAAATTAGTGAATTGAAAACCGTAAACTAATAGAGAAAATCAACACAACCAAAGGCTGGTTCTTTGAAAATGTCAATAAAAATAAATAAGCCTCTAGACAGGCTAACTGAGATAAAAAAGGAAAACACAAACTGTTACCAGATATAAAGGAAAGGGCATTATTATTTATTCTACAAACATTAAAGGGATAATAAAGGAATATTATGAACAACTCTGTGCCCAGGGATGTGGCAACCTAGATGAATAGACTGATACCTTGAAAAATTAAATTTTGAAAAACTTACACAAAAAGACACAATCTGAATAGGCCTATATTTATTAAATACATTGAACCAATATTTAAAAACCTTCCAAACCAGGAAACGTCATGCCAAGGTAGATTCACTTATGAATTCTACCAAATATTTCAGTACAAATTTACACCAATACTTTACATCTAAGAGATATAAGCAAAGGGAATGTTTCCTGACTCATTTTATGAAGCCAGTATCACCCTAATAACCAAAGTCAGATAAAGATATCAAAAGAAAAAAAAAACTAAAATCCTATATCTCTCATAAGTATAGATGCAAAAATCCTCAAAAATAACAGATTGAATCCAACAATCTATAAGAATAATTATACACTATGATTAAATAGGTTTTATTCCAAATATTCATGACAAGTTAAACATTCAAAAGTAAACTATGTAATTTTTCATATCTTTTTGCTAAATAACAAGAGTGAAAAAAATCACATGATCATATTAATAGATGCAGAAAGAGCATTTGACAAAATCCTGCTCATTCATGATAAAAACTCTTTGAAAACCTGAAATAGAAAGGAATGTCCTTGATTTAATAAAGAATATCTATAAAACACTTAAAGTCAACATCATGCTAAATGCTGAGAAACTAAAAGCTTTCCTGCTAAGATCAGAAACAAGGTAAGGATGCCTTTTCTCATCATTGCTTTTCAATATCATACTAGAAGTCCTAGATAATACAGTAAGACAAGAAAAGAAAAGGTATACAGACTGTGAAAAACAAAATAAAATTGTATCTCTTCACAGATGGCATGACCATTTATATATAGAAGATCTGGAAGAATCAACATTAAAAAAAAGTCCTGGAACTAATATTATAGCACTATTGCACAATACAAGGTTAGTATGCAAAAATCAATTGCTTTTCTATATACCAGATATAAACAAGTGGAATTTGAAATTTAAAAAACATTACCATTTGTATTAGGAACCCCAAAATTAAATACTTATGTATACATTTAACAAAATATGTGCAAGATCTATATGAAGAAAATTACAAACTTCTGATGAAAGAAATTTTAAGAAAACTAAATAAATGGAGAAATATTTTATGTACATGCATAGAAAGATTCAATGTTGTCAAGATGTCAGTTCTTACCAACTTGATCTATAAATGTAATGTAATGTAATCCCAATCAAAATCTCAGCATGTTACTTTGGGAATATTAATAAATCAAGTCTAAATTTTATAGGGAGAGGCAAAAGACTCAGAATGATAAGCTCAGTATTTAAGAACAAAATTGTAGGACTGACACCACTCATCTTCAAGACTTACTATAAAACTACAGTAGTTTGTGCAGTGTGGAATTGGTGAAAAAATGCAATATAATAGAATAGAGAGCCCAAAAATAGGCATTCATAAATACAATCAACTAATTTTAATTTTCACATTGTGTTGAGCAAATGCAACACAATGGGGAAAAGGCAGTCTCTTCAACAAATGGTGCTGGAAAAACTGGGCATCCCATGCCAAAAAATACATCTAGATACAGGCCTCACACCCTCTACAAAAATTAACTTGAAATGGAAGTAAATGTTAAATGAAAACCTATAAAATTCCTAGACAATAACCCACAGAAGAAAATCTAGATTATCTTGGGTATGGTGATAACTTTTTAGATGCAATGTTGAATGCATGATAAATGAACAAAATAATTGATAAGCTAAACTTTCACTAAAATAAAAAACTTGTGTGCTGTAAAAGATGTCAACAGAATGAGAAGACAAGACATACATTAGGAGAAAATGTTTGCAACACACATAACTGATAAAGAACTGTTATTCAAAATATACATAGAACTCAAACTCAACAAGAAAGTGAAAACCCCACCTTAAAATGGAAAAAAAAGCTGAACGGATGCCTTAACAGAGAAGATGTACAGATGGAAAATAAGAATGGAAAAATATCCTTAAAATCATAAATCATCAGAGAACAGCAAATTAAAAAAGAATGAGGCGGGGCACAGTAGCTCACCCCTGTAATCCCAGCACTTTGAGAGGCCAAGGTGGGTGGATCACCTGAGGTCAGGAGTTCGAGACCAGCCTGGCCAATATGGAGAAACCCTGTCTCTACTAAAAATAGAAAAATTAGCCGGTCATAGTGGCGCATGCCTGTAATCTCAGCTACTTGGGAGGCTGAGGCAGGAGAATCGCTTGAACCCAGGCGGTGGAGGTTGCAGTGAGCTGAGATTGCACCATTGCACTGCAGCCTGGGCACCAAGAGAGAAACTCTGTCTCAAAACAAAACAAAACAAAAAAACAAGGAAAATCCAACACACTAACAACAACAAATGCTAGCAAGGATGTGAAGTAGCAAAAACTCTCATGCATTACTGATAGAAATGCAAAATGATGCAGTCACTTTAGAAGATAGTTTGTCAATTTATTTAAAAACTAAACATACAATTCAGCTAAT
Source organism: Homo sapiens (assembly GCF_000001405.40). Taxonomy (NCBI): domain Eukaryota; kingdom Metazoa; phylum Chordata; class Mammalia; order Primates; family Hominidae; genus Homo; species Homo sapiens. Next base: position 162,160,204 of record NC_000003.12, on the reverse strand, counting down.
GTTCTTCATATTTATCCCAAATGAATTGAAAATTTAAAACCACACAAAAACTTACATACAGATATTTGTAGATACTTTATTCATAATTGCCAAAACTTGAAACCACCAAGATGTCCTTTAGTAGATGAACGGATAAGTAAACTGGTACATCCAGAATATAGAATATTATTCAGCATTAAAAGGTATGAGCTACTAATCCATGAAAAGACATGAAGGAATCTTAAATGCATATTACTAAGTGAAAGAAGAACCATCTGAAAAGGCTACATGCTGTTTAGCCTTTTACTATGTATATTTATTATATATAATGAATATATATATGTTATATAAATATTATATTATATATTTAGATGTATAAATAAGATTAGATATTTATTTTACAGAAACTATGTTACTATACATTCTCTATTAACTATGTAACATCTGTTACATAGTTATATATGAGATATAGTAATATAGTCACTATATAATAAATATAGTTGAAGTAAAACAGTATGTATACAGTGTGTAATACAGTATGTATTACTATATTACATGTATATATACTAATATGTGTATTAATTTCAATTAATTTCAATTCCTTTCATTTTATGGTAGACACAAAGGAGACACATTTTATCAGTGGACCCAAAACTCTGGTGCCGGTCACAGACTCAGGAAGGCAGCCTTCCATTAGTGTTTAATCATTGTGTAGCCTGCCTAATTATTCACCCACATTCCATTGGTGTCTGATCTCCACGGGGACACTTGCTTTGGTCATTCACCCACATTCCCTTGGTAGCAAGTCAATTGTGGGGACACCTGCTTTGGCTGCTCACCCACATTGCAGCCGAGGGCTGCTCCCCACCCCTTCTCTCCGTGTCTCTACCCCTTTTTCACTTTCCTGGGGGGTAAGCACCTCCCACCCCTTTTCCACTTTCCTGGGGGGCAAGCACCCCCCACTCCTTCTCTCTGTGTCTCTGCCCCTTTTCCACTTTCCTGGGGGGCAAGCACCTCCCACCCCATTTCCACTTTCCTGGGGAGCAAGCACCTCCCACCCCTTCTCCACTTTCCTGGGGGGCAAGCACCCCCCACCCCTTCTCTCCATGTCTCCACCCCTTTTCTACTTTCCCAGGGGGCAAGCACCTCCCACCCCGTTTCCACTTTACTGGGGGGCAAGTACCTCCCACCCCATTTCTACTTTCCTGGGGGGCAAGCACCTCCCACCCCATTTCCACTTTACTGGGGGGCAAGCACCTCCCACGCCTTTTCCACTTTCCTGGGGGGAAAACACCTCCCACCCCTTTTCCACTCTCCTGGGGGGAAAGCACCTGCCACCTCTTTTCCACTCTCCTGGGGGGCAAGCACCTCCCACCCCTTTTCTGCTCTTCTGGGGGGCAAGCATCTCCCACCCCATTTCCACTTTCTGGGGGGGCAGGCACCTCCCCCCCATTTCCACTTTCCTGGAGGGCAAGCACCTCCCACCTCTTCTCCACTTTCCTGAGGGGCAAGCCTCCCCCACCCCTTCTCTCCATGTCTCTACCCTTCTCTTTAAACTTGCCTCTTACACTACAGGCAAATTTCCACCCTCCATTCCTCCTTCTTCTGCCTTAGCCTGTGTTCTCAAGAACTTAAAACCTCTTCAACTCACACCTGACCTAAAACCTAAATGCCTTATTTTCTTCTGCAATGCCGCTTTACCCCAATACAAACTCGACAGTGGTGCCAAATAGCCATAAAATGGCACTTTTGATTTTTCCATCCTACAAGATCTAAGTAATTCTTGTCATGAAATGGGCAGTCTGACATGCCTGATGACCAGGCATTCTTTTACACATTGGTCCCTCCCTAGTCTCTGTTCCCAATGCAACTCGTCCCAAATCTTGCTTCTTTCCCTCCCGCCTGTCCCTTCAGTCCCAACCCCAAGCATCTCTGAGTCCTTTGAATCTTCCTTTTCTATGGACCCATCTGACCTCTCCCCTCCTCCCTAGGCTGCTCCTCACCAGGCTGAGCTAGGTCCCAATTTTTCCTCAGCCTCCGCTGCCCAACCCTGTAATCCTTTTATCACCTCCCCTCCTCACAGCTGGTCCGGCTTACAGTTTTGTTTGGCAACTAGCCCTCCCCCACCTACCCAGCAATTTCCTCTTAAAAAGGTGGCTGGAGCTAAAGGCATAGTAAAGGTTAATGCTCCTTTTTCTTTATCTGACCTCTCCCAAATCAGTTAGCGTTTAGGCTCTTTTTCATCAAATATAAAAAACCCAGCCCAGTTCATGGCCCGTCTGGCAGCAACCCTGAGACGCTTTACAGCCCTAGACCCTGAAAGGCCAGAAGTCCGTCTTATTCACAATATGCATTTTATTTTATTATCCAATCTGCTCCTGACATTAAATAAAGCTCCAAAAATTAAATTCCATCCCTCAAACCCTACAACAGGACTTAATTAACCTCACCTTCAAGGTGTACAATAATAGAGTAGAGGCAGCCAAGTAGCAATGTATTTCTGAGTTGCAAGTCCTTGCCTCCACTGTGAGACAAACCCCAACCACATCTCCAGCACACAAGAACTCCAGACGCCTGAACCACAGCTGCCAGGGATTCATCCAGAACCTCCTCTCCCAGGAGCTTGCTACAAGTGCTGGAAATCTGGCCACTGGGCCAAGGAATGCCCACAGCCTGGGATTCCTCCTAAGCCATGTCCCATCTGTACAGGACCCCAGTGAAAATTGGACTGTTCAACTCACCTGGCCACCACTTCCAGAGCCCCTGGAACTCTGGCCCAAGGCTCTCTGATTGACTCCTTCCCAGATCTTCTGAGCTCAGCAGCTGAAGACTGATGCTGCCTGATTGCCTCAGAAGCATCCTGGACCATCACAGATGCTTTAGGTAACTCTTACAGTAGAAGGTAAGTCCGTCCCCTTCTTAATCAATACAAAGTCTACTCACTCCACATTACCTTCTTTTCAAGGGCCTGTTTCCTTTGCCTCCATAACTGTTGTGGGTATTGAAGGGTATTTAAGGGGTATTTAAACCCCTTAAAACTCCCCCACTCTGGTGCCAACTTGGACAACATTCTTTTATGCACTCTTTTTTAGTTATCCCCACCTGCCCAGCTCCCTTATTAGGTCGAGACATTTTAACTAAATTATCTACTTCCCTGGCTATTCCTGGGCTACAGCCACACCTCATTGCCACCTTTTGCCCCAGTTCAAAGCCTCCTTCACATCCTCTCCTTGTATCTCCCCACCTTAATCCACAAGTATAGGATACCTCTACTCCCTCCTTGGTGACAAATGATGCACCCCTAACCATCCCATTAAAATCTAATCACCCTTACCCCACTCAATGCCAATATCCCATCCCACAGCATGCTTAAAAGGATTAAAGCCTGTTATCACTTGCCTGTTACAGTGTGGTCTTTTAAAGCCTATAAACTCTCCTTACAATTTCCCCATTTTACATGTCCAAAAACCAGACAAGTCTTACAGGTTAGTTAGGGATCTGCGCCTTATCAACCAAATTATTTTGCCTATCCACCCCATGGTGCCAAACCCATATACTCTCCTACCCTAAATACCTCCCTCCACAACCCATTATTCTGTTCTGGATCTCAAACATGCTTTCTTTACTATTCCTTGCACCCTTCATCCCAGCCTCTCTTTGCTCTCACTTGGACTGACCCTGACACCCATCAGGCTCAGCAAATTATCTGGGCTGTACTGCCTCAAGGCTTCACGGACAGCCCCCATTACTTCAGTCAAGCCCAAATTTCTTCCTCATACATAACTTATCTCGACATAACTCTTCATGAAAACACATGCTTTCCCTGCTGAGTGTGTCTGGCTAGTCTCCCAAACCCCAATCCCTTCTACAAAACAACAACTCCTTTTCTTCCTGGGCATGGTAGGATACTTTCACCTTTAGATACCTGGTTTTGCCATCCTGACAAAACCATTACATAAACTCACAAAACCAAACCTAGCTGACCCCATAGATCCTAAATCCTTTTGCCACTCCTCTTTCTGTTCCTTAAAAACAGCCCTAGAAGCTGCCCCCACACTATCTTTCCCTAACTCATCCCAACACTTTTCATTACACACAGCCAAAGTGCAGGGCTGTGTGGTCGGAGTTCTTACACAAGAGCCAGGACCACACCCTGTAGCCTTTCTGTCCAAACAACTTGGCCTTACTGTTTTAGCCTAGCCCTGACATCTGCATGCGGTTGCTGCTGCTGCCCTAATACTTTTACAGGCCCTCAAAATCACAAACTATGCTCAATTCATTCTCTACGGTTCTCGTAACTTTCAAAATCCATTTTCTTCCTCACACCTGACACATATATTTTCTGCCTTCCAGCTCCTTCAGCTATACTCACTGTTTGTTGAGTTTCCCACAATTACCATTGTTCCTGGCCCGGAAATCAATCCATCCTCCCACATTATTCCGGACACCACACCTGACCCCTATGACTACCTCTCTGATCCACCTGACATTCACCCCATTTCCCCATATTTCCTTTCCTGTTCCTCACCCTGAACACACTTGGTTTATTGATGGCAGTTCCACCAGGCCTAATCACCACTCACCAGCAAAGGCAGGCTATGCTATAGTATCTTCCACATCTATCATTCAGGCTACAGCTCTGCCCCACTCCACTACCTCTCAGCAAGCTGAACTCATTGCCTTAACTCAAGCCCTCACTCTTGCAAAGGAATTACATGCCAATATTTATGCTGACTCTAAATATGCTTTCCATATCCTGCACAACCATGTTGTTATATGGGCAAAAAGAGGTTTCCTCACTACACAAGGGTCCTCCATCATCAATCCCTCTTTAATAAAAACTCTTCTCAAGGCCGCTTTACTTACAAAGGAAGCTGGAGTCATTCACTGCAAGGGCCATCAAAAGGCATCAGATCCCATCACTCAGGGCAATGCTTATGCTGATAAGTAGCTTAAAAAGCAGCTAGCTTTCCAACTTCTATCCTTCACGGCAGTTTTTCTCCTTCTCATCTGGTCACTCCCATCTACTCCCCACTGAAACTTCCACCTATCAGTCCTTTCCCACACAAGGCAAATAGTCCTTGAACCAAGGATCTCCTTCCAGCCTCACAGGCCCATTCTATTCTGCTGTCATTTCCTAACCTCTTCCATGTAGGTTACAAGCCGCTAGCCCACCTCTTAGAACGTCTCATTTCCTTTCCATCGTGGAAATCTATCCTCAAGGAAATCACTTCTCAGTGTTCCTTCTGCTATTCTACTACTCCTCAGGGAGTGTTCAGGCCCCCTCCCTTCCCTACACACCAAGCTCGGGGATTTGCCCTGGCCCAGGACTGGTGAATTGACTTTACTCACGTGCCCCAAGTCAGGAAACTAAAATACCTCTTGGTCTGGGTAGACACTTTCACTGGATAGGTAGAGGCCTTTCCCACAGGGTCTGAGAACGCCACTGTGGTCATTTCTTCCCTTCTGTCAGACATAATTCCTCGGTTCAGCCTTCCCACCTCTATACAGTCTGATAACAGACCAGCCTTTACTAGTCAAATCACGCAAGCAGTTTCTCAGGCTCTTGATATTCAGTAGTGCCTGGTTTTACCTCAAACTGCCACCCTTAAGTCTCTCTTTAAGTGGATAGAAGATCTTCATTGACAAGGTACCCTCCAATACTTTCACCCTGATGAAGTCCTATTCTTTACTTTTATACTTACTCTTATTCTTGTTCCTGTTCTTATGCCACCCTCTACCTCTCCCCAGCTATCTCTACCACACTGTCAATCTCAGTCACTCTCTCCTAGCTGTTTCTAATCCTTCTTTAACAAACAATTGCTGGCTTTGCATTTCTCTTTCCTCCAAAATCACTGAGGCCCTGACTTACTCACTGCTAAAAAAAAAAAGGGGGGGAACTCTGTATATTTTTAAATGAAGAGTGTTGTTTTTACCTAAATCAATCTGGCCTGGTATATGACAACATAAAAAAACTCAAGGATAGAGCCCAAAAACTCGCCAACCAAGCAACTAATTACGCCGAACCCCCTTTGACACTCTGTAATTGGATGTCCTGGGTACTCCCAATTCATAGTCCTTTAATACCTGTTTTTCTCCTTCTCTTATTTGGACCTTGTGTCTTTCGTTTAATTTCTCAATCCATACAAAACCACATCCAGGCCATCATCAATAATTCTATATGACAAATGCTCCTTCTAACAACCCCACAATATCACCCTTTACCACAAAATCTTCCTTCACCTTAACCTCTCCCATTCTTTGTTCCCACGCTGCCCCTAATCCCTCTCCATACCACCCCCAAAAATTTTTCCCTGCCCCAACACTTAAATACTATTTTACGTTATTTTTCTTATTAATATAAGAAGACAGGAATGCCAGGCCTCTGAGACCAAGCTAAGCCATCATATCCCCTGTGACCTGCATGTATACATCCAGATGGCCTGAAGCAAGTGAAGATCCACAAAATAAGTGAAAATAGCCTTAAATGATGACGTTCCACCATTGTGATTTGTTTCTGCCCCCCACAACTGATCAATGTACTTTGTAATCTCCCCTACCCTTAAGAAGGTTCTTTGTAATTCTTCCCACCCTTGAAAATGTACTTTGTGAGATCCACCCCCTACCCGCAAAACTTGCTCCTAACTCCACCGCCTGTCCCAAAACCTATAAGAACTAATGATAATCCACCACCCTTTGCTGATTCCTTTTTCAGACTCAGCCCACCTGCACCCAGGTGAAATAAACAGCCTTATTGCTCACACAAAGCCTGTTTGGTGGTCTCCTCACACGGGCATGTGAGACAATGAGATTATGTAAAGTGTTCAAACCAATGACCTATAGGCATTCCTGAGAGAGAAGAAGAAAAAGTAAATTTGGAAAACATATTTGAGAAAAAAAGTTCAAGAATATTTTTCTTCTCTTTCTAGAGAGGTAGACCTCTAGACACAAGAAACTCAGAAAACACCTAAGAGATACTATATGGGGCAAATGTCACAAAGTCATATAGTCATCAGAAGAGTCAAGGTCAGTTGTAAACTTACAAAAATCTAAAATGCAGCTAGAGAGAAGAGTTAAATCACCTGTAAAGGGAGTCCCATCAGGCTAGCTGTGAACTTCTCAACAGAAAATTTACAAGCCAGAAAATATTAGGGGCCTATTTTTAGCCTTCCTGAAAAAAAAAAAAAAGTACTAACTGAGAATTTTGTATCTTCCCAAAGTAAACTTCATAAATGAAAGAGAAATAAATTATTTTCCAGAGAAGCAAATGATAAGAGAATTCATCCCCACTAGATCAGCCCTATAAGAAATGTTCAAAGAAGTCTGAACACGGAAATGAAAGGATGATACTTGCTACCATAAAAGTACACGTAAGTACAAAGTTCATAGACCCTCTAAAGCAATTACACAATTGAGACTACAAAGCAAATAGCCAACAACACTATGACAGGAACAAAACCTCACATATCAATGTTAAGCTTGAATGTAAATGTCTAAATGTTCCATTTAAAATATACAGATTGACAAACTGCATTTAAAAAGTAAGATGTAACCATCTGCTGCCTACAAAGGATCCACCTGACATATATAGGCTCAAAGAAAAGAGGAGGGAAAGATATACCATACAAAAGGAAAACAAAAAAGTGCAGGAGTTGCTATTCTTATGTCAGGTAAAACAGACTTTAAACCAACAACAGTTAAAAAAAAAAAAGAAACATAAAATACAAGAAAAAAAGCATTATATAATGATAAAGGGTACAATTCAATGAGAAGATTTAACTGTCTTAAATATGTACACACCCAACACTGGAGCACCCAAATTTACAAATACTACCAGACCTAAGAAAAGAGATTGATAGCCACATAATAATAGAGACGTCAACACCTAATTGACAGCACTAGATAGATCATCAAAGCAGAAAACTTACAAAGAAACTTGACTTAATCTAGACTCCTGACTAAATGAACCTAATAGACATCTACTAAACATCCACCCAACCACTGCAGAATATACTTTTTTCTTATCTGTGCATGTAATATTCTCTAAAATTGAACATATACATGGCCATAAAGCAAGTCTCAATAAATTTAAAGCAGAATTAAAATCATATCAAGTCCTTTCTTGGACCATAGTGGAATAAAGTTAGAAATCGATACACAGAACTAACAAAACCACAGAAGCCCATGAAAACTAAACAACTTGCTCTTAAATGACTTTTGAGTAAACAATAAAATTGGGAAAGAAATTTAAAAAATTCTTGAAGTAAATGAAAATACAGACACAATATACCTCTGGGATTTATCAAAGGCCATGTTAAGAAGAATGTTTATAGTATTAAATGTCTATATCGAAAAATAGATATATGTAAAATTAACAACCTAAGGTCACACCTCAAGGAACCAGTGAAACAAGAATAAACCAAACCGAAAACTACCAGAAGAAAAACAATAACAAATAAAGTTTCGCTCTTGTTGCCCAGGCTGGAGTTCAGTGGCGTGATCTTGGTTCACTGCAACTTCTGCCTCCCGAGTTCAAGCGATTCTCCTGCCATTTGACCCAGTCATCCCACTACTGGGTATCATCTACCTACAGGTAAAGAAATTGTTTTATCAAAATGACACCTGCACTAGTTTATCAGGGCACTATTTATAATAGCCATGTATTGGAATCAAAGTATCCATCAACGATTGATTGGATAAATAAAATGTGGTATATATTCACCATTGAATACCATGCAGTCATAAAAAAATAATAAAATCATGTACTTTGCAGCAACATGGATGGAGCTGAAGGACATTATCCTAAATGAAATAACATGAGAAATAGAAAATCAAATACCTCATGTTCACACTTATAAGTAGAAACTAAAGAATGAGTACACATGGACATAAAGATGTAAATTAAAGACATTGAGGACTCTAACGTGGGGAGGGAGGAGCAGGATGAGGGTTGAAAAATTGCCTATTTGGTACAAGGCTCACTATTTGGGTGATGGGTTCACTAAAAACCCAAACCTCACCAATACGCAATATATTCATGTATCAAACCAGCATATTTACCTCCAGATCTAAAACAAATTAAAATAACAACAACAACAAAAAGATTCACATTTGAGTCATTTTATGCCAACATTCAACAAGGATTCTATAAAAATAAAAAAATTATAGGGCAACATCACTTGTGAGAATTACTGCAAAATTCTAAGCAAAATATTAATAAACAAAATTTAGCAATGCTAAGCAATATTTATATCAAGACTCAGGTTATTCTAGCATTTCAATGATGATTTAACATAGGAAATCAATTAATGTAATTATATTAAGTGATTATAAAAGGATAACTCCATAATTAACTCAATATATGAAAAACTGTTGAAAATCAATGTTTACTCATGATCTTTTATAAACTATTTTAGCAAACTGAAAACTGAGAATAATTCATTTAAGGGAAAAACTGACATCTACCAAAAATCTGTACACGTCATACCTATTGGTAACATATTATAAGACATTATTTTAGAATAGGAAATATGTGAAAGTATTCCCTGTCACTTCTCTCGCACAACTTTGTACTGGGAACTTGATATGTGAGAGAAGAGGTTTCAAAATTAGTCTGTTGTTCAATAAATGATACTGGTGCAGCTGGTTATCTACAGGAAAATATAAAATTAGATTACTACCTCACACCTAACTTGCAAAACCATTTCGGGTATAAAACATAAAGGAAATGAGTATACAAATAATAAAATTTTCTTCAGAACCGTGTATAAAATACCTTAATGAATTTGTAGTAGAAATGGATTTGTCAAACAAATTTTAGAAAGCATTAATCATCAAGATGGATAAATTCAACTGTATTGCCATTAAGTAATTTTGTGCATGGACACATACACACAAATAAAAGACGTCATGACAATACAAACTAAAGACTACTAGGTAATTTTGCAACACATATAACTACACAAAGACTATCAAAAATATTTGTTTAGAATGAAAAATTTTATAATAATACATCAAAATGACAATAACAACAATAAAACAACAGAAAAATGGACAATGGATACCAATAGGATATCCGTTCATAGAATTTAAAAAAACCCAAATGGGCAAATAGCCACATAGCCTCCCTCAGTAGTACACTTTTTAAAACATGAATTATATTTATATTTATTATGTAATACAAACAATTTATAAAGATAAATATTTTCATAAATGTATTTATACAGAAAAATAGAAATTTAAACCTCAATAAGATGACTTTTCACACCTATGTCATTGACAACAATTTAACATTGAGACAATTCCTAATGTTTCTGAAGAAATGAAGAACTGCAGCCCTCATATACTGCTGAGAGTGCATTGACAAAACCATTTTGGAGGTAATGGAAACGTTATACAGTAAAGCAGAAGTTACTTTATGCTCTATGACCTATATTCCAATTCCTGATGAAATTGCATTGAAAAACCTCTTACAGAGAGGTGGGAAAAGATTTTATAATGATGTTGTTAGTAACAACGTACAATTGTGAAAAATCAAAAATGTTTTAAAATAAAAAACATTTAAAATGTTCATCAACAGTAGAATTATATTTAAATCACAGAATACTACATTATGGTTAAAATGAATGAACTATGGTGACATATGTCAACACACAAAAGCCTCAGTAACATATCAAGCAAATAAATAGATTGCAGAAAATACGCACAATATACTGGTTAAAAAGATTTAAGTATTTCAAAATTATGTTATTATTTAGTAAAACATATATATGAAAGTTAAAATAGAAATCATCATGATATACACAAACAAAATTCATCTGGAGAGGAAAACATAAAATTAGTGAGATCAATGTATAATTTTTTAATGCAAAAATAAAAATTCTAAAATTATCTCTTGTTTCTTCATAAATCATTTGGTGTACCTCCAGAGATATACACATATCATTGCTTTTTAATCTAGAAATCTATCTGCACTTTCTTTATACTATGCATTGCCTTGCTAATACAGCAGGAATACATAAACTCCTTGGGCAAATTAAAGAAGGCTACTAATTCATTAACTCTCTTTTCAAAGGGAATTGGGATCTTTGTTCCTCTCCTTTTGAATCTGGACAGGAGGCCTGCACTGCCCAATAGAATACATGGAAATGATGTTATTTTAGTTATTGGGCTTTGGTATTTAAAAACTAGCAGGCTCCACTTTCTGTCTCTGGGAGTCATAAGCAGCCCCGTAAGAAATCTTACTCTACTAAGAATATTATGATAGAACACACATAGGCACTATGGTAGATAGTTAATGTTGCACCAAGATTTCCAATTGTCTCTACCAAGGAACTAGACTTTTCAGTGAAATTATCTGGGACCCTTCAGACCAACCATTCACTAGCTAACTCCTAAAAAGTGGCCTCAGTAAAATCCATACAGAGCAGAAGAATCACCCAGCTGATTTCTATAGAAATCCGTAACCCTAAAAGTTGTGTTAAAATAAAGTAGTTGTAATTTTTTGCACAAATTTGGAAGTAATTCAGTAGAGCACTAGAATAACTTTTTAAAAAATACTTTAAATACTTAAACTTGTTTGCTCAATATTAACTAACTATGGTTAAGGCATAAACAGCTTTTCTACTGTCTTATAGATGATATTCCCATGCCAAAAAATATAATACTATTTTGAATTATTTTAATAGACATTACTTGTTATAAAACATTATTTTCCTTTCCCATTATATTTTACTTATAATTTATTCACAAGTCATTGATAGTTATGCTAGTTTCTCCTGTATCAGACATGTGAGTCCCGTTTCTCCTGTATCAGACATATGAGTCCCTCAGTCTTTCATTTGTTAGTATTTCTTTGCTCAGTCTCATATATCTATTATTTGCCATAGATTATACTGTCTTTGTAAACCTTTAAATATATTTTTTTGAGGGGGAGTAGTTCTGAAGTTTACATGCCATGTACAGGAATTAGCAAATGCCAAGCCCCTAAACAGAAGCAAGCTCAGTGTGAAGAACAAAGGAAAAGTAAACATCATGTGGGTTTGTGGTGAGAAGACAGAGATGCAGGATAAAGTAGCATATGGAACATGTTAGAAACTTTGCATTTTATTAAAAACAATGAAGAACGTTTGGATGGTTTCAAGGAGGAACATGAGACTGAGTTTTGTTCCATAATGATCCCTCTGGCCTTGGTAAAGAGAATAGATTTGTGAAGTGATTTTTCTACTTCCTTGCTGCCAGCCTCAGTTCCTATAGCTCAATCTGGTTCTCATGTTGTGCAGCCTCATCTTGGATGGATTCAGTTTACTTCTAATCATCTTTTGTGTACTTATAAACCTGTGCACTCATTTAGCATATTATGCTTGATTGTAAATAGGGTTGGAACAGAATAGCTATACTCTGGTATTTATTGGTTCCCAACCTGAAACTTTAATATTTACCTTGTGTTATGTTCTAATTCTTCCTGATAAGGGTGAAGAATGATTTCTCAAATCCTCAAGATGTTCCCAAGATGATTTTATAACATTTCTCTATGTAATCTATATTTGGTTTCTAAAATAATTAGTTCTTGACAAGGATAAACAAACCTTACAGAGTTCTTCATAACTTTCCCAAACATGGAGTAATTTAAAGGAATCAACTATGTGCCATGTGTAGCAACCCTCATACTAGAGCCAAGGAAGTCTTTTATTTAAGACATTAATAGGGTTTTTAGTTCTAAAGAAAAAAATAAAATTTAAAGATTCTATAATTTTTTAAAAAGAAGGTATCAGTTTCAATTAAAAATTATTTCTTGTAGATTCAGTTTCAGGTCTTATATTTTAGTCTTGAATTCATATTGAGTCATTTTTTTGTATACATTGAGCAACAGAGATCTAGTTTCATACTTCTGCATATGGATATCCAGTTTTTCCATCACCATTTATTAAAGAGAATGTCCTTTCCCCAGTGAATGTTCTAGGCACTTCTGATGAAAATTAGTTGGCAGTAAATGCATAGAGGTTCCTCAAAAAAGTAAAAATAGAACTATCACAAGATCCAGGAATCCCACTACTGAGTATATATAACCAAAGAAAATAGAATTAGTATAATAAAGAGACATCTGCACACCCATGTTTATTGCAGCACCATTCACAATAGACAAGATATGGAAATCAACCTAAGTGTCCATCAACAGATGAAAGGATAAAGAAAATGTAATATATATATATATATACACACACACACACACACACGAAACAAAGTACTATTCAGCCATAAGAAAGCTATAAAAAATAACAAAATACTGTCATTCATGGCAACATGAATTAACTTGGAGGACATTGTTAAGTGAAATAAGTCAGTCACGGAAAGACAGATACTGCATGTTCTCATTCACATGAGGAAACTACAAAGTTGATCTCGTAGAAGTAAAGAGTATAGTCTATTCGTAATTTACTTAGGCACAGATGTCTGACTGATTTTACTTGAACTATGGAAAACTTTATTATTACTGGCCAATTTAGAAGAGAGGGAATGACTTCATAGGGGAGTTATTGACTATCCTAAGAAATAAGGCAGAGGGAATTCAAGGAATTCTTTGAAAAAATTAAATACAAATATATATATATGTTATATCATGTACTTTATATAGTATAGTAATATATACTATATATAATATAATACTTAAAAATACTCTATAAGGTCTAAACATATCCTTATAGAAAGCAATCAATCAGAGATGGTTTTAAGCACTATAAGGTAAAAAGAAACTTCTAAGAAAAAACATTTTCAAAAGACTCATGTTACAATAAGAATGAATTGAACATAAATGTTTTCCATTTTCCCTTCATCTTCACCATATTTGCATCTTGAAGTGTGAAGCTAATCCATAAAATATATTTTCATCGTTAAGTAAACATGTAACATTTTTTTAAATCACAAAGAAAAAGTAGTGTCTCCTTCATCAGCAGAACAGTTTGACTTTCACTCCTCTATGTTCAAAGTGTAATATAGCTTCCTGACATCAGTGAAAATAAATTTCCACTAAAATGATACAACTAACATTTATTAAGAGCTTGCCAGAGCCAGACACTACCTAACTGGGTTTATGTATTAACTTATTAATTCTTCACAAAACAGCCTAGGACTCTCATGATAATGAAATTGATTTACCACACAGCTAGTAAGTAGCAGGAAAAGGATGCGAACCCAGCAATGCTGGCTCCATGTTACACATGAGCAACCACTCTCCTTTACTACCTTTTGCTAAATTTAATCAGATAACTGAAGAGAGTCTTTATTAAAATTAGCACAATGAGCAATTTTTCACTACATTATGATTAAGATCTATAAAGTTGCTGGGTTTGTGAGAAGAATTTGACTCAGCTTTATCCTTGACAATAGCATAGAAATTCTATATCTCACTATCTCTTTAATGAGGGAAACATGTCGTAAACCGTCGTCTACAACACCTCCCTCACCTTCATGGCTAATCAATGGACCAATTTTGTTTAATCTACTTCCAAACTATTTTTTACAAATGATCCAAACTTTTTAATTCCTATTCCTTTGAGTCAAACCTTTATAATCAATTGCCATGAAAATTGATGTGCTTCTTAACAGTTTCCACAAATCTGGATTTTTACCCTGACAGCATACAATTTTCAAATGATTTTCAATAATTTTTATAAAATCCATATTTGATCAGAATAATTATTCTCTCTAAAAGCATTTAATGGTTTTTCACTTCATGCAGAATAATCTCATAACTCTTCACAGTGGTGGCTGAAATCATCTGCAGTTGGTTCTTACTATTTGCAATGATTATGTTCTACAGAGTTGCTGCAAATACTAAATTAGTCAATATACAATCATTGCTCCTAGAAGAAATACAGGTTACATTCCTGCACGTTTCTGGTCACAACATTGTAATCATAGTCCTTTTTTGGTGTATTTACATTTGAAGACACATTAAAATATATTTTTAAAAGTAATAAATTGGTCTCTGAGAGATTCCAAAGTCCAAAGTCAGGGACTTTGGAGGCCATCTGCCTAATATAATGTGTTCACCAATGTCCTTGTAAAACAAGCTACATTCCTCAACTTTGGAAACCTACTCTTCCACATAAATATTTTCCAGAGCTGAGTTTAACATTTTAAACTTAGCAGGCTTTTAACATTTTAGCTGAGCTGGTTTTAACATTTTCCTGACCCTAGATAACATGACCAAAATTTATTTGGCTTTCAGCCTTATAACAATGCTATCCATTAATTTTCATCTCGTGACAATTTTAGCCATGCTTCCATCTTTCCATAGCTTTATCATACACTACAGGTGTTATTTAACACTTTTTTGGGATGGTATCTGTATAGATTAAATAATGTTTGCTTTTTTTCCTGGATGCACCATAATGTTAATTCATTAGCATTGAACTCATGATCAATAGGACTATAACTCATCCCTGAATAATGCTTCTATAATACATGTATTTCCTAAATAAGGAACAGCACAGACTTCTTGCTCTTAAGAACCTTAGATAGCACTTTAACACTATGCTTAGGGTTATTTTAAACTGTAAAATCACCAACAAAAAGCACAAAAATGTGAAAAATGTGGTACTGAATAGGCCACCAAAAAGAAATATGTTGAGTATTCTCAACATATATGAATATATGAGAGCTGAAGCAACAAGACAGAACACAGTCTTATTCTCCTTAAGCTGGGAAAGCATGCATCCCTCAACTCAAATTCTTTGCTGCTTTGTGCATGTCTGCAAGTAATCAGGAAAACACTATGAATATTGATTTTGGGGTTTCAAATACATTTTTAGCAAGTAAGAAAGTTCTCAGATAGGGAATCTGCAAATATTGAGGATCAATTGTATCTCAATTTCCAGTATCTTCTCTCACTAAATCTTTGTCTTTAACTACACCAGGTGCTACTATTTCTAAACTGTTTTTTCAGATTCTCCGGTGCTGAATCTCTGTTTAAGCTTATTCATTGTCCTAAATGCCTTTATCTGACTTACTGTGCATCAAGTGCCTTACTCCAAGGTCCAATTAGTTAACAATTTACCCTAAATTCTCTATTTAGAGTTTTTCTTCCTCTCTATGAGATGCTCAAAAAAATTTTATTTTGACCACTGTGATAGGCATTATAATAACTTCCTAAAGATGTCTACGTCCAATCTTCCGAACCTGTAATATGTTACCTTATTGGGCAAAAGAATTGTACAGATGTGATTATGGTTACAGGCCTTAAAATGAGAAGTTTATCCTGAATTAACTGGGTGGGCTCAATCTAAGCACAAAAAGTCTTATAAGTGGGAGAGGAAGGCAAATGGGGAGGTCAGAGAGATTCAAGTTAGGAAATAGAGGCAGGAGAGATGCAAAGCGTGGGAGGGATTTAGTTCACATTTGCTTTATTTAAAGAGGGAGGAAGGAGGCCATGTGTCAAAGCATATGGCACCCTCTAAAAGTGGGAAATAGCCCTCAGCTAACGGCTACAAGAAGGTGGGGTCCTCAGTGTTACAAACACAAAAATCTGGGTTCTGCCAACAGCTTCAATGAGCAGGAAATAGAATCTCCTTTAGAAAGTCCAGAAAACAAAAATAAAAAAAAAATTAAAAAAAAGAGCAGCTCTGCTATCTTTATTGTTTCTGGTAAGAACCATTCCAGTCTCCTCCTGGCCCACATCACTATGAAATAGTAAGTTTATGTTGTCTTGAAACATGATATTTGTGGTTATTTTTTATAGTACCAATAGAAAACTAATATGACCATAATGAAAGTAATTAGTAGATTCTACTCTATTTCAATTTCAATTCCCTGTTCTCCAGAGTGTGATTCACCATGGAGCAGATGACAAATCTTATGTGCATTCAAACATTCAAAAGATAAGACACACAAACATGCTCATACACATGCTCATATACACAGAAACATGTTTGTTTCATTGTTTCTTAATCTATAAAATTGAGCTATAATTTACTTCAATACCAAGATTTCCTTCACTTTTCATAGGAAAAACTTGTTCTAGTGCTAATTTCCCATAAAATAAGTTAATAACATTGTTATTCAAACATTCAAACAAATTCCTTTATGCTGTAAACATGAAGACAATTTATGCAATGATATAGAATATATTTAGTGAATTTAGACCTGATGTCCATTCAATGAATTTTTATTTATGGTCCAAAATAGATGTAGCAGCTGTTCTTATTAAATAATATGTAGCAAATTTAAGTATTAAATATTGAATCCTGAGTAAACTTAATTTTCCTCATACCACCTCAAGCTTTGGGATTATTAATTCTCAAACTCAGCTTTTAATTTTCAAGTTTTAAACCTGAGAAACTACCAAGACATTAAGCCCGCTAGGAACAAATGCTTTCATTTTATCCCTGACTCATAGTTTACCCTTTTAGGAGACTGATGAGATTTCCATATTTTTGTTTTTCTTGTTTTCAATTGTGAAATGTAGAGACTTCATTCATTGGCTCCTGCTTTCTCTGCCACACACTTCAAAATACCAACATATGAATAGTTCCGAATGTGTCATCATTACCACAGCTTCACTGCTTTACAGAGGCTGCTCAAGTCCTCCAACCCAACTACTGCAATATATATCCTTATTATGATTTCCCTATAGTCACTCCATCTTGCTGTAGGGTCTCCAAAACTAACATACATGTTCTCCCAAACTAATACTTTGCCACACATTATCTGTTTTTTTCAGTAATGTAGTTATTATACTTCATTCTCTCCATTTACCCACTTATCACAATTAATGAAAGTCTTTGATTTCCCTTTTGTACCCTCTCTATATGGAATTAGAACACGTATGGTAGAATTGGGTCGCAGAATCTGAGCGGCCACCTGTGAAAATGATCCTTTTTCACTGACCAGGAACCACTTTCTCAAGATAAGAACACAACAATTTTATATTTGCTTTTCATTAGTTTCTAAAGTCACTAACGGAATTGTGGAAAAAAAAATCTGGATGTAACTTTTGTCTCTTCTGTCCTTACCAGATCTATATTTTAGAACTTCATGCATCTGGTAATAAGTTCTGTAGACTTCCTTAATATTTCTTCCTAAACTCTGTTCCAGAGACCTTACTATACCTCTGGAGTTACCAAGGTACACTGAACTGAGCAAAAGGAGGAGTAATTATTCAGAAATTCTCTATTTATAGGGCTTGTATCTCTCTATGTTTAGGGACATAGATGTTGGAAAATGACACAGCAGCCCATGAAGTCATTCTGTGAGTTTATTTTCTGCCTAGTAAATTATTATTTAAGAAAAAAAAACTATTACTGACAAACTTTTATATAACTCACATTTTAGCTATATGAATGCTTCGTGCAACTCAGTCTGTTTCTTGTATCTACGATGTATTTTACTGTGTCCCAGATGAGTAGCTAAATCTCCACCCTGACATATTGAAATAGTTCAGGGGATATGCAGTACGAGTTCTGGCAATGGGAATAGAAAAAATAATGACAAAATAGTACAGAAGTTAAATAGACAAAACTTGGTGACAGATTTGATGACAGAGTGAAGGAAATGGATAATTAAAGCATAACTTCATGGTTATAAATATGAGTGATTTAAATATTAGTAACTTTTTCAACAGAAATTTGGAAGTCATAAGAAGTGTTTTTATAAAGGAAAAATGATCTGTTTTGCTTTGGGCCCAGTGCCAAGTATCTGAGTGAGTGAAAAAGAAAGTCACCTAAATATTTGTATTTTTTTCTCTATTCTAAAAATGTTCTCTTAGTGTGTTTTTATATATGGTTGGTTTGTGATGTAACAGTGACAGTATGCCATAGGTATTTGGCAACATGTCTGTGGCTAGTTCAAATTCTCTAAATTTTTAGACAAATAATTTATTTGTCATGACTGTAAAATGCTAAATGAGATTGTTAATTGAATCTGCAGATACCTTAAACCGTCATATTTAGTGCTTTTGGCAGTAAAAATGCTTAAAAACCGGTTTAAGAAAGAATAATATGCCAAAATTTTTAAAGAAATTAATAGCATAGAGAAAGACTGCAGACATTTGTATGTTGTATAACACTCAGTTCCCCCAGTGTGCCTAAATATTCATCTTATTGACAATAATTCAATCCAAATCCGCCATGCCATAGGCTGTACACTGCATTGTACACTGTTATATAATAATACTAAAATGGTCAAAATTTACATGTTAATGAGCTTTTTTGCATTGCTGTATTTTGTCACAAATAAGTAATATTCTGTAGTGTTTTAGAATTATTTTATAATCGTTTGTACTTTATTTGAAATATAGAATATCAGAAATTTGACATTTCACATAAAATTTATTTAAACTTTCTTCCTGCTATTATTTTTTTCTATTTCTAAAGCAAATCTTAAATTGAAAGTATTAATATGTAAGAAGTAAAAAGGCAATTTTTCTTTTGTAAACCTGTTTCAAGTTTTGAGAATATTGTCTCATGCCACAAAAAGTTATAGAGAACAGTAGGTGATCTCTCAGACATTCCAAATCACTTGTAAATTAGCACATTGGTATGATTGTTTTCATATATTATTCTATATTTGTTTGACCCCTGGAGTGGACATTTACTTAAGAGCAGTAGGGGTAGCACCATCATCAACTAAAGTGCCCTTCTCAGCAGGGCAAAGAAAAGCCTTTCCTTTTCTAAATACTTGATTTTTAGCTTAATTCTGCTGATGTTGTTTATGTGAAGATTTTTTATAAAATAACATTGGTATTTTAATACTCTATTTATTAAGTGAACATTGTGAAAATAGATAGAAATATTTCTAGCATCTCTAAGGCAATGGTTCTTATTCAAGTACTATCTAATGAGATTTAAGTGGTCAAATGTATATTGAATTTTAAAATTTGAAGATGCAACTGTATGAAGATATTGGCTACATTTATAGGCTACTGCTAAATGGGATCAAGGGAGGTTGTTTATAAACTTTTTTAGTCATTCATTTTAATTCTATACTGAATTTAAGAATGAGCAAAGAGCTAGGCAGTGTTTACTGCCATAAAAAATAAAACAAAGTATTATTCTGTGGACATATTTTTAATTTTGCATAATTTCAAAAGATAAACATTGTTCTTATGACTCATTAAATAATTCAGCATTACTGACAATATAAACATGTGGTTTGATTAATTTCCTATTAGGACAGGATGTCTTGAATTCAGAACATAGCCTTTATTATTGCCAGCAAATCTAGTGCCAGCATTAAGCCAGTGTGTAATGTCAAGATCATCTCTATGAAGAACTGGGTATGAGAGAAATCAGCACAGTATGAAGCCCATAGATATGCAAAGATTATTTTCATTGCTTATCGTCCAGTAAAATTATGGTTTAATATGTTCACTGCTTTAAAAGAAAAAGCAATCTGTTAAATTATATGAAGAATTTAAATTAAAGGTGCAGTCTTCACCAGTAAAGAGTATAAGTTACTAATGTGTACAATCTTACATAACAATAAAAGAATTATAAGACTGTTGTTGAATTCAGAATAGCCAATTATTAATAAGTATCATAAACTTTGAAATTTTGCATAACATTTGAGCCAGTCATTCCATTCATAAAAATTTATCTTGAAAACATAAGCGTATAATTGAACAAAGACTTAGCCAAAAAATTTTTTTTCATTGAAATGTTGCTAGTCTGTGAATAATCAGAAAACAATCAAACATATAATTCTAGGGTTGATTAAAATACTTTATATACAAAAAATGAAATGATAACTTATCTAAAATAAAAAATTTATGACATTAAATCTAATATTTTTAAGTTAAAAATAGCAGGTTGTTTATTCTTAAATATGGATGGATTAATAAAATGTTTAAAATATCTTTAAGTTAAAAATAGCGAGTGGTTTTCTGATTAAAATGTTGACAGTGATATCTCTGGATGGTAGTAATAAAACAATTTGATTTTCATTTCCTTGTGTTCTTTTGTATCTTTGATTTCAAACAGTCTTACTAGGAGCATATATTTCATTTTTAATGAGAAAAGAACAACACAAAAAAGAAAAAAATATATATATATGTAATTGCATCAACCTAGACAGTATATCAAAATACCAGATATAAATTAATTGTTCTAAAATATTTTCCACAGGATTTTACATTAAAAATATTATCAGTTTTATACTGTGGTTTATAAAGAAACAGACTTTGAAGAATTACTGGTATCTGGATATGTAGAAAAATGGGAAATACATTCTAAGTGGGCAGAATTCTGCTATAAAATGACAGAGATGAAAAAGCCACGGGTTTGTGTAGAATACTATGAGCAAAATAATAGAGTATAGTGGAAGTTTAGTGAGATAAGTAGATTGTGACAGATTATGGAGGGTCTTTAATGCCCAACTAGTGACGGAAGTTTTTACCATAAGTTGTGTGACCCCTGTCTACCTCTGTAACCCCAACTTACACTGCTTTCCTCATTGGCTCACTGTTCTCAGCTGTATTTATCTCATTTCTGCTCTCTGCCAAATCTCTGTCCTAATTCAGGGCTTCATGCACCGACTGGCCTATGTGCCTGGAATGCCCTTCTCTTTGATCATCACGAGGCTGGCGACTCTCAAATACACAGATCTCAGCTTGCAGGTCACCTCCATAAAGAAGCCTGGCTTGACAACCCACCCAACTATTCATATACCACTACATCCCTGTATTTTAATTCACTACAAAGCAGTTAATGCTATTTCATATCTCTTTCTCTCTCTCTTTACAATATAATCTCGCAGGCAAAAACTTAGGCATCTTGTTCACCACTGTATCCCCAGGACCTACAGGAAAGCTCATTATATATTTGACGAGTAAATAAATGAATACATAAATACTAATCCATTTTCTGACAGAAGAAATAAGAAATATATGGTAGAGAGGAAAAAAGATAATTTTCTCCCAAAGGTAATATTCAGAAAAATAAAATAATGTAAATGTATCTTATGACTTTAGCTCACAAACTACAGCAATTCGATCTACCTTATTCTTTTTTATATTATCGTACCATTTCCTGGACTCCCTTAAATATATTATGAATATTACTAGTTTGACATTGAACTGTAAGTTATTTGAAAGCACAACTACCTGTTTTTCCATTGCCCCACCACCACACCCCAACACACTCACACACGTGCTTATAATACCACACATAGAAACTGCTCTTGAGCATTTAGGGAGAAAAGGATATCAAAGTGGTGAATATCAGTGATATATGACCCACATATAAAATTAAATCTGAAAAGTAGGTATATTTTAGGATTAGCTTGTCTAAATGTTTAGGTGAAATATTGCCAGATTAAATTAATTTCAGAGCATGTATAGAGAATATTACATCTGTAATTAGTAGATCTTAAATATTATCTGAATGAATCTTAACAAGAATTCACAAACCTAGTTAGAATAATTAATATTAGACAATGTCAAAGGCATTTTTATTTTCTGAATATAAAGCATGAGCTATGGGCTCATGTTAGATATTTTTAATGCTCGAGCTATAAACCACCAAAGTTATGCTTTTTGTATGCTGTATTTATTCACTGCCTGAGAAAGGCAAAAGTCAGACCACTGAAAAATTGTACTTTTTTGTAGAAGAACTTTTATCAAGCATTCATTTTGATCCTACTGCAATACTTTATTTTTCTAGGCCTTGATTGGAATCCTTGAAATTCTAAAGGTACTCTCTCAAAGACATTTTTCTGATAAACTATGACATCTAGACTCAAAAAACAATTCATTTTTGTAAATATGTATTCCATTGCATATACGTATTTAAAGACTTTACAATTATACATATAATTATTGGATATAATATATATGCAATTATATTATTATTATCATTGTATATAATATCCTTTATATACATATATAGCCTTTATATATTCTTGTTAGAGATGACAGTGTTCTTAGAACTGAATTATAGTTGTTAGAATTAAAAGCCCTATTAAAAGCCTTCTATACAACTTCTATGATAATATATTCTAATAACCCCTTCAACGATAATATATTCTAATATTCCTGAGACTATATTTGTATGTAATTGTATATTGTACATGAGAACAATATCATGCAGACATTCATAAGTTTCTAAATGCAAATTTAAAAAGTACATTTTCTATGAACTTGCTTATTCTATGTACCTCATTCAGCCAGGCAGAAAGTATGATGTAGGTTACAAGAACTAGAAAAAGGGGGAAAGAGAGAGTTATTGTTTAATGTGTAGAGAGTTTCTGTTTGGAATCATGAAAAAACATTCCAGAAATGGATAGTGATGATGCCTATACAACATTATGAAGGTTCATAATTCCACTGAATTGTACTCTTAAAAATGGTTAATATAATAAATGCTATGTTCTTATATTTTTATCGCTATCAGAAAAATAAAAAAAATTTTAAGTATATTTTATGCTCTTCCAGAATTTTTACAAATTCTAGAGGAGTGGAAAAGCAAACTTGAAAACAGAAAACGTAGTAATCGTCTAGCCCCTAAACAGGATCCTTATTTAACACATAAGAACTACAGGCCCAAGTTGGTTTCCTGTAATTCAAGCAGTCAGCAGCAAAATTGATTCTGATTCAATGACATCCCAACCCACCACCTCTTCAATAGGCCTAAATTGTCAACCAGCGGGGTATCCCAGCAACATCACAAACTGAACATTAAAAACTGAACAAATGATTGTTTCTCCAAATCAGCTCTTCCTTCTGCATTCCCTACTTTAACCAAAAGCACCATTCTTTCCCTAAGTACATATAGCCTCCCACAGCTTATCATCAAGTCCTATTCTTGAATTATCCCCCAAGTATCCTGACTTTTTCCATTTCTTTTTGTTGCCCTGGCCCTGCTTAAAATCAGAAATCGCACCTCACCTCCTGCCGTTGACAGCTCAACTGGCATCTGATGTTACATGAAAACATAGTGTACTCTCCTATTCCATTCCAAAGTCTATCTTTTTGTTTACTTCCTATGAAAACTATACACATTTCTCTGAACCTAATTCTAACATCCCAAATATGGTTTCCTTCCCATATTTTTATGTAAAAATTATTTATTGAATGTCAGGCATGGCACACTGCATTTTTTAGGTTCCAAGAGATTTTATGGTAAGCCAGAACAGATATCAGTCCTGCACTTAGGTAGTTTATAATTATGAGAAACAGACTAATGTTAACCAAGTAATTGTAAACCACTTGAGTGTTATTTCATTGCAAATAAGTTCACTGTGTGAAATGCTGAATTTCCAAATAAAATAAATCATGAGGACAAACCTAAGATTATGGATATTTCAGGATGGTAGAAATTGATGTGAAAAAATAGAACTTGAGTAAGCCTGCAAACTCATCATGACCAAGATATTCTAGATGGTAGTGACCGCTGCCTCCGGAAGGACTAGCAACAGACCAAAGACAGAGCTCATCACCGGGAAGGTGACCAGATGGATCTGAAAGGAGATAAAATAAAAGAAATAGAAGTAAAGCCTATTCAATACACATTTTTCATAAAACTGGAAAACCTAAATCATCAAGTTACAGTGGTGACAATTTAAAAATCATAGGTTAGCCAACTCAGAAATTTCTCATTACTTGAATATGTGCAGTGGGAGAGAAATGCATGTTACAACAGTTTTTCGTTGATGTAAACTAGTGAAAATATTGTTTATATTTTAATATACAATGGCCTCTTTATTTAACTTTGGTCCTCAAAATGAGGAAGCACCTGTAGTATGACTTTTTCTTCATTTTTTATTTGATAAATTAAATTTATTACATTGTGGAATGTGGTGCTAGTACTTCATGTACTTGTACATATTATTTAAGGCAATAATGGTAAGCAGAATGTATTCCTTTTGAGAGCATAAGAACGACATTGATATGAAGCTTGATGAGCTTCAAGACACTGAGATCAAGATAAAACTTGAAGAAATTGTTCATCTATTTTATTTCTTCTAATAAATGTTAATTCCTTCATTATATCAATATTTTTGAAAAATAGGTTAATAATAAATAGTTCACTTTGTATCAACATTACGATGAAATAACTTTTTTCTCCATTTCTAAGTAAAGCAAAAAGAATGTAATCATTAGGAGAATGAAAAAAAGAGTCAAAAGACTCTACTCTTAGGTAAAGAAGGGCTGCAGTAAGAAGGAAGTAACATGTCCAGAATCACCTGAGACTGTAAAGCAAAAGAAGAAAAGAAGGTCACCGAATCTTTTAAATTTCTTAAAATTTAGAAATTCCTTCAATTGCTGTTTATTACATCTGGCAGTTTGCCTGGAGAGCTTTGTGGTACATTCTAAAAAGGGGAATGAGTATAAGTGCGCTGAAGAGTGGGTGTTAACCTCCACACTCACCCATTTGTTCTCTCCTCTATTCAGCCAGATAGAGGAAGCCTCCCAACTGAAGTCATCCTGTGCACTTGCCTAAAAGGTTTCGATGTGGTTCTGCTGATAAGTAGCACTAGCTGGAGAATAGGTGGTAGGAGAAAAGGAGATGTCATGACTGTGGGCTTCCGGCTTCCTGCCCTGTGTCAGAGGCAGTGGTTTTAACAGCAGCAGAGACAACATAGCTCTAGGAGCCTCAGTAGCAGGGTTTTGTGAGCTCTGGATAACACAACCTTCCTGCTCCTGCAGTCAGTTTAAGTAATCGGTTTCCTATATATATTCCGTTTGCCGTGAGAATACACTCGAAAGCACTTGTGGCTGCAGTCTTTACCCTGAGATAACTTTGCCATGAAATCTTTTCCTTTTATTATTATTTTCCCATCACTCTAGTGTATCAACTTTGGAAACAAAAGACATCATTCTCTTCGTAGCATTCTGTTTTAAGTAGTGGTATTTCCGTTTACAAAACATAGTAATTCATGATCGCTGAAAATGTCAAATCCAAGAAAATGTAGCACCCCTACATATGATGTTAACATTGCTCTCGAACAGTTGTTGGCCAAAGATTCATTTGATGAGTTCTATTTTTCTGAAATGGATGATTCTGATGATTCAGATGATTCTGATGTTAGTTCTGTTTATAAATAACTCCAAGAACCATTTGCATATTTTATTTTCACATTGCAAATCAATCAGATTTGCTTCAGCATTCAAAAGCTTGTTTGTGTAAAATTAAATGAGCACTGGCAGAGAGCTGCACTTTTTTTCTAAATGGGAAAAGGGTAAATGTCTGAATTTATTACTACGATTAACTTCCCAAAGTCCCTCAATTCAATGTGTTTGCTTCAGCTGCTCAGAGTGGCTTTAACAATTATTGGTTGGTTGACTGGGAGCAGGACATAACAGTGAATTACATCAAAATGAGCTTAAGATGCCAAGATTTCCTGATGATAATATATTACTAGAAGAAAGATCCAAAGGCATACGGAGATACAAATATTGAAGTGCATTATTGTTTCATGTGCAACCCACCCACCAGTCTCCCATTATCTCCCAAATTTGAGAGATGCAGGAATGAGACAGGTTCTGACATTCTTAGAAAATCTCATGATTGTTCTCTGCAGGTCAGAGATAAAGGGGGGAGATGCTACCATTGAAATATAAGTTTCTGGGACGGCAGAGGACACAAGATAGGACCTCACTACCTCATCACCTGAAGTAGGGTGAGCACAGCTGCTATAATGGAGAACAGGTCCAGAGCAGTCGTCAGAATATTTTGGCCCACTGACATTTTTGGCAGTAGCTAATTAATCACTAGAAATAAAATAGAGGATACGCCTTTTAAATAATTTGTTAATGAATAATCACAGAGAAACACTAGGATTCATGAGCAGACGTCTAATTTCAGTCACCATAACGGAGAGTCTCATCCCTCCAACCAAGTTTCTATTCCAGAGCTATGTCATAGAGCCAAACTCTTTAAATGAAAAACCAGAAGGTCCACTTAAAGAAGGACACTGAAATGCTTTGCCAAGAAAGGTCTGTAAATCTTCCTTAAAGTTTTCCCTAAAGGGACTCAGGCCATTTATCAACATGGCTACATACACACTGGTAAAAGAGAGAATACACCATTCAGAGATCTATAAACAGTGACACTGAGTTGATTTAATTTCTGGGTACCAAAAACACTACTGGAATCAACTGGCCAAAGTTTAGGCTTTTGGAAATTGGCTGATAGAATTATGGCCTGAGTTGTTCTCTCAGTGGACCCAGTGAATTTTTCAACCCATCCTAGGGTAATTTCCCAAGTTGCTGAAAGCAACAGTTGGAATAAACAAATTCATGGAAACCCTTATAACCCTTTATCCATTCTGTTTTTAAGACAGAAACTAAACTCCAAGTAATAGAACAGATTGGCACCTATATGGATAAAGTAACACAGGCTAAATTAGTGGTAAGTTTCTTTTGCTGGTGAGAAGCCAAGAGTAGACATGGGGGTATATAGCTAGAAGGAGATCGTGGGAGGTATTCCCACAGGCAGCCTACTTCATTATTGACCTTAAACATGAACACACTCTCCATAGACAATGTTCCAAATAGCTACTTTAACAACGTTTGACAAAAGTGATAAGTCTGTTTTGCCAAAAGCCCCTGTTGGGCAATATTTTACTTTTATTACCAACCTGTTTTTTGCTCATTTTTCATCTAGCTGCGCTTAATTTCCTTGAATAAACTCATTGTGGTCACTGCAAAGACAATCCCATGATATTAACAAATGAAAATAGTATAAAAGGACATATGTCTTGTTAGCTGTGTTCCTTCAAAAGACTTCAGGTCCTAAGACAGAACCCAGAGTATTATTGTGATTAAATGAAAACCACTCAGAGGAAAGAAACAATTTTAAAATGTCGCTCAAGCCATCCCTGTTGGTTTCAATTGCCCAGAAATTCAGCAGTATGAAGCTGTAGCATATGGTTTTGTAACCCTTAGTGCTGATATCATAAGCATCAGCCAAGGTGTTAGTTAACAAATAAAATACAACAGTCCAATTATTCCAACAATGCCAATAAATATTGAGAAATAATAAATTATTACGTCTCCAGTGCAGCATTTACTTGTGATATGCTGTCTGAATTTCACCAAATTTTAAACATTTATTGATTTTTAATAGTAAGTAAGTCACATACATTGTAAGTCCTTATAGTAAATATTTGGCTGCACAATATTAAAAATTAAAATAATTTTCTATTGGATTTATGCAGAATTTTTAAAGAACAAAATATAGAAATAATAATTCAGAAAGAAAATTACAAGTTTAACCAACCACATGAAACACAAACTCCTTGGATAAGGATTATGAAACATTTCAGAAAGTTAAAAATATACTTTAATTTGTGTATGGATACCTACTTCATTTCTGCAGAATGATTTATTCTTGCTCAGAATTGAAATATATTATTTTAGAAATGATTTGGACTCTTGAAAATAATGAAATGTTCAATGAAGCATTTAAAATTATAATATATAATACTACAGTTATATTATAACTATACTATATATATATATAATGTGAGTGTGTGTGTGTATATATATATAGTCTCAACTAAGTCTCAAGTATCTTACAGGGCCTTTCTCATATGACAGCCCATCTAATCCTAACAACTCTGTGAGGCAAGTAGTATTTTTGTATTTTACAAATGATAAAATTAAGCCTGAAAAAAATACATCAGCTTAAGTAATTTGTTTGAGATAGAAATTTTCGTAGAATAGAAAATATGTGGGCTCATGTCCACATGACCAGGACCTGCCAAGTTCATGTAGGATATAAGACTGTTGGATTTTTTCTTTTTGTCCCTGATTCTTTCCCAACTCATTTAATCATTATAAAACCCCTCTATTTGCTTTCCTTTCCCTCTATCTGCATCTTCTAGGGTGTAAATGGAATGGGTTAACATAGATAATTGGCTCACTATAAGCTGAGCTGGTTTGCAAATAGAAAACTTTTATTATTTTGTGAAAACAAACATCTTGATCAGGAAATAGACCAATTGAAGACCTTTCCTTGAAACACTGCAAGGATGAGTTTGAAAAGAAATATTTCTTGCTCTGTTCCTTCCAGTCACTGTTGCATTCATCAATAAGAATAAGTTTTAAAATCTCCTTAAAAAGGACCTTATAAAAAATGATTTATAATTTTAAAATGTATTTAAAATCATAGATGCCCTGAACTCTACATATGACACAAAGTAATATTACTTCACTAAAGTCATACATGAGAAATAGAATTTTAATATATAAATAAATTATCTTAATAGTAGACTTATCAGATCTCAGTTTGCTGCTTTGTTATGCATAAGCTGCTATTTTATTGCTTTGATTGCTTTTCTAAAGATGATTTTCACACAAATGATAACAAGTGCCTTCAGTTACAATCGGCACATAATAAATACTCATTATACAGCATGAATACCTGCCATTGCCCTCTGTTAAACTACCATCAGTAAATAGACCCTAGTCACCAGAGTACATTTCTCCTATTCACCATGGTGGCAGTTTCAAACTGTGCATTCTCAGTAGGTGTCATAAGACAAGAGGCTTCTCAGCTTTGTGGCAGGATAATGTTTATTACATCATGGCAGAGAATGAAAGAAGGTTGGTTGGTCCAGACCTGCCCTTGCAGCTTGTCAGCTGTTATATTTTAATATAGGGCGCTTTGGATCTGGCGCTAAGTGTCACATGGACTTGGGGGACATAACTAATGAAAAAAATCAATGGCCAGTTGTTTTTGAAATGTCAGAGAGAACTCAGGAAATATCTGAAATGTCAAAATGCACTTGAAATAGGATATAGTGATCCAAAGGCACAGAAGTAATTTAGGATTTTATACACAAAGGCCCTGGAACAGGGCAATGAAAGTCCTTCAGCAATCTGTAAGTCTGTAGTGTACTAACTACTGTATTTGGTTCAGTTCCAAAAAGTTCTCAAGAAAATGGATAGACTTTAAAGTGGAGAAACAGTGATAATTATGGTGGAGTGACTGGCACTCTGAAGTAAGATAAAAAAGTAATGATGAATTCTCCAATTCTGCTAGCCAGGTCTCTTAAATGAAAGCAATATAAGCCCTTTCAAATGAGTTAGCTGAAAAGCAGTTCTATGGTATGGCTAGAGATACCATGGATCCAAAGTAGAGGCAGCTTCCTGGGAAGTGGAAATGGAATGATGCCATGGATGACGAATTATGTATTCTGTCTTTCTCTAGGGGACTACAGTGTTTCTGCACCTCTGATTTTATCAGCAAATCTGATCCATTCTCCTCTGTTTGGGAGCTTCTCTCACTGTTTAGTTTGAGCATTACCCAAATCTACAAGTCCTTTTGGGAAAATACTGTCAACTGGCTACAATATTTGGGTACATTTATTTCTGTGATAATCTGAAGGGCTTATCTTAATTTCCAGATGAATCTCTTGTTGCTCAATTGAAGCAGGAGAGTGAAATTCTTCAATTACCTGAGAAGAATCAGCATTGAGAAGGACAATGGAGAATATGCTTCCCTCCAGGTTGTACAGCTGTAGAATTCTGTATTTGCATCCCAGGCCTTTCAGCTCAGTGCCCATCATTACATGAGCATTTGGGACTCATTCCCATGCTACTTTGAGTCAGTCACCTGTCCCTGTTAAAGAAAATTTTCTGGTGATAAAACTCTTCTAGGATATGTTTATTATTTTTATTCTTGGAGACTGAGTGTGTTAAAAGCCAACTTCTGATATGTAAATATTTCTGGTTACTGCCCATATCAGAGCACCAGCCTAGCCATAACTTTCTAACAACCTCAACTGCCCCCAGATGATGTGTGAGTTTGCAGCCTGACCACCCATAAAAGGATCACCCTGGTCCTTCTAGGATTCCCCAAGAAGAGTTTGCCAGCAACACAGGGAATCCTTCTTATTCCAGGTACATTACTGCAATATCCAGGGTGTTTTTACTTTTACTGTGTTTTTGTTGTTGTTTTTTGGTTTTTATTTGTTTCAATGAAAGCATTGACTTTAACCTAAAATGATACCTTTGCTATGTCAGGCTCAATTGGCAAGCTGCATTTTTGTACATGAAACTCAATGGTCTCAGAGTGCCTGCAACCAGTAGAAATGTCTTTGTAAAGCAATTTTATATAATTATTTTCTTTTTTTAATCATCTGTTTCCAGCCAGATACTCCCAAACAGGAGTGTTTCTGTGTTCTTAGTGTTCTTATAGGCATAAGGAGTAACCGAGAAATAACAATAAATATCACTAACCTGACATTTTTCTACTAAATTTCCCCAACTCTTCCCCCTAAGTAGTTGTATGTTCTGGTTTCTGAAAGTTTGTGTTAAGCTCTTGTCTATGAAAAATCTATGAACTGATAGCTTTCTTCCTGGTTGAAAGATTCTGAGTGTCTTCTTCTCAGCCATGATGATACCTTAACCAATCTCTCAATGTTTTCTAGGTCGCACTGCTTGCAACCATATTTATAGCTCAAATGTCTTTTTTAGTGTAGAACCCTTTGATTAGAAGAAACAAAACTCCACTCATCATGGGTGAAATAAAAGTTACATTTTGTGTATAAATGCAGATATCTGAGATAGTCCAAGACATACCAGACCTGCTGCAAAATTTACTTAAAGACCAAGAACTTCATTAAAAACTGAGAGCAATCCAATCCTCCATTAGAGAGAGGCCTACAAGGTGTCTGTCACTTCCACCTATGCATGGGTGCGTCTGCTCCATTCTTCCCCCTCCTTGACTAGCTCACTTAGTTTATCCATTTTGCACATATTCCACATTGCAATCCAGTCCTGTGTGGCCTTCTAGATCAAGCTCTTGCTGCTCTTAGTCTCTGTGTCTTTTAGCTCACATTGCTGAGGGTACAGTGTGACTTTGAGACAAAATTTCTGAGAAGACAGATTTCCTCAGGATAGGCCAAGAATTGACTCTCCTTAGGCCAGTTCTCTATTTCAAATCAATCTGCTGAAACATCTTTAAACAAAACCTTTTTGGTTTAAAACATGCTTAAAAACTGAAAGAAGGGTGATATAAAATGTTTATCTAGGGGATGTCCCTGAAAGCTCAGAAAAGAAGAGAAAAAGCAAATACTGGAGCAGCTTTAATTTATCTACTTTGATGTACCTATTTATAAAGTATTTAAACAAATAATTCTACAGTGAAAATGAAGAGTATGAGAAAGTCTCAGTGCATCTTACCCAAAAGTGTCTTCACTTTAAACAATGATGTCAGGGAGACTTTGTGGGACATGGCAAGATTTGTTTTCTCTTATAAACTATTACTGGTTCTCATTCATAAATTTAATTCCTTCTTGAATTCATTTTACATGTTTAGCTTATATAATATCATATGAATAATAAAATCCATAAATTTTTGATGCTGGATAAAATATTGCCATTTACTGATTCATGATAACTCTATTTTTTTCTTGACATACCAAATTAAAGAGTTCCAAATTTTGGTGAATTATGCCAAATTCAGAACTAAAATATCTGAAAAGATTCCTTCTCAGTTTACTCCCTTTAAAGCAATATAATCTAAGCATAGATACCCCAGGGCATAAATAGATGTAAGGTAGGAGAAAAAGGCTGATGCTTTTGAGGACTCTAAATAGTTCCGTGTGTCAAATGAGTTTGTCAAAATGAGAGAATGAAAGCCTGTGAGAAGTTATTGGGGTGCATGATGAGAGTGAAGCCTAAGTCACAAAATGGAGTTCCTATCAATAAGGTTGTAAACAAGGTTGCAAATAAAATAAAAATAAATGCCATTTACTAATAAATGTGTGTCACTATTATTCGCTATGTGATAAGTACATAAAGCCTCACTTAATCCTTAGATGTGAAAGCATAGGTATTATTATCTCCACATTGCAGATGAAGGGATTCAGGGTCTCATCAGCAATTAGTATATCAAAGAAATTAACTCAGGTCCAGTTGATTGTAAGCACTACTAATTTCTACAATTTTATAGAATAATTTGAATTATTCTACTTGCAGTATAAGATCCCTCCTTTATCTGTATTTTAATTCATCTTCCACTAAGCACTCACATAAAGGGAGCTTCCTTAACAATCCTAGAAGGAAATAATTCATGATTTTTTTATTTTTTTGGACACATGAAATAAAAAAATTAAGTATTCAAAATAAAGCCATGTAACAAAAAATGACTAAATATTCAGAACGCTGAGGGTAGGAAAGTGATCATTATCATCACTAGCATATGCTATTCAGCAGCAGTTTAGAAAGGAATGTAACAAAGCCTTCATTTACCCCACCCAACATTGAGACCCAGGTTGGGGCATGGAAGAAGCAGGTTAGTTGAAAGAACAAAGCACATTCCTTGGGGACATGCTGTCATTGGCTGCGCACAGGTGTGTCTACAGAGTCAGGGTGGAGACCTCAAAGCACACAGATAATCATTACTTTCACCCAATGAAGAAGTGGAAGGAGATTAACTCATTCACATTCATCACCGCAAACGGATAAAAGGAACTGATTAAAAATGGAAAAGGAGAAAAACATTCTGCAAAGAGTTCAGATAGAGACACTAAGTGACAGGAGTTTTGAAAATGCACATGGATTGTACTATGGCAGCCTATTTTTTACAATTCAAGAAGTATAATTAAACTATAATAACGAGTCACCTTATTTAGAATGGTTCAGAGAAGACTTCATTAGAATCTAATACCTTGTCTGAAGTCTCATCAGTAAATGTTCTCTTCTAGTTCTGGCTCAAAAAATTGAAGATTTGTGATTAAACGGAGGAAAGAACACAAAGAAACAGAATAATTTTTTTTTCTGGGGGTTAAATTTTCCATTTATTTGACAACATAATCATATTTAATTATCAGTAAATAAACATAAACTCACTTAGCTTGATAATCTCCCATTATAATTTCAGGACTATATCACTATATATATTTTTGCTATATTTTACTGTTAACATTTGCTATTTAGCCCATATTATATATGACATATAATCCTCAAATAGAAATATATATATAATACACATAGATATACATGATGTATGTTTATAAATATGCATATGTATGTATGTATAAACTTAAGATATCACTCTTTTATTTTTGTGAACATCTATTGACATTTTTTTTTTTCTGCTCAGCATATATATTTCTATGGGAAGTGTTTCCTCCTCATTTTTCTCTAATCCTAGTAGTGACAATTACCTCAATCTCAGATGTAAATTTAGCCTAATAGTGACCTAATCAGAACAACATTTTGGCATTGGCAACTTTTTTTTTTTTTTTTGTCCTACATGGAGAATCAGTACAGAATTTTATCAGACTGCACTGTTCTAATCCTGGCTATGCCACTCATGAAATGTGTGACTTTAACCTCTGTCTCAACTACCTTATGGATAAAAGGGAGAAAACAATAGTATAACTATCTTTACATTGTTAAGAGGATTGATAAGTTAATGTCTGTAATACTTAGAAGGATGTCTGAAATATAGAATGCGGTATGTAAATATTTGTTACATACATAGATTTGTTTAAAAACATATGCAATTATTCAGTATCCTTCAGAGGATTGACATGTGGACATGTCACTGGGGCTGCTAAGGTAAGTTGCAGGATGGAGATGAATGGAATAGAGAAGTAACTGTGAGGACTCAGCAAACATGTACATTACCACCTGGAGAAACAAAGCCCTAAAAACGTTGTGTTAGTCCTTGTGTCCAACTGTGGTTGAAGATAACATGACCCTTACACTTCCCAGATAGAGACACCAA
Source organism: Homo sapiens (assembly GCF_000001405.40). Lineage (NCBI taxonomy): Eukaryota > Metazoa > Chordata > Mammalia > Primates > Hominidae > Homo > Homo sapiens. The sequence goes on along the minus strand of NC_000003.12, from coordinate 162,125,546 downwards.
GAAAGTCCTCTTTGTGTATTGTTTTCTTTTGCTAAAACGTTTTTAATATGGGTTTCTATCACTTGCTGCTGAAAGACTTCTGACTAAGAAAGGTTTAAAGATTTTCACATATCTTTAAAGAAAGAATAAGTCTACCCATTTCCTTTAAAGAAGAAATCTTTAAAGAATTGCTTCTTGTGACTGTCAAAAGAAGAAACTTTTAACTTACGTTAGTTATACAAATAAGTCCCCCTTCTCACCTACTAATACACATTCAGTATTTAAATTGGCTGAACATACAGCCATTTCAGTTTTTTCACTGCTAAATTTTATTTCCTCTTAAATATTTATTAAGCAAGAATCAATTTCATTCTGTTAATTAGTTTGCTACCATGACTTCTTGTCACCACAGCTCAATTTGCAATATGTTACATTAAAGAGGTGTTAATTGTCTGATAATGTTAGTAGAAGTTGCATCACAGCTAATATACTAAGAAAATGAGTGATTTGATTAGGCTACATAAAAGTTTTCTAAAATAACTTGGAATAATAGTAATAATAATACAAGTTTATGTAAACAGTATTACTTGGAAAAAATACCCTAAATAAGAATGACCTAAATTTAATAGAAGCAAAAGTGAAAAAAAAATTTCTGAATGAAGCCATTTGTAAGAAGCGTTATTTTATATTAAAGAGTAAATGATTTCAAGCCACAAAAATGTGGGTTCAAATCCTGGATTATAACTTAACAGTTAGTTTTGGAAATTTATTTAAACTTGTTGATACCTAGTGTTCTCAACCCTAAAAATAGTAGCTACACATGTCCATTTGTTCAGGTCTGTGATGGGGATTGTAGAATATGTGAAATCGTATAACATCATGCCTGGCACAAAACAATGAGAAATAATAATATTAGTAATAAAAGCAGTAACAAATATATTTATGAACAAGCATATAAAGATCCTCTACACTATTTTATCAGGCAATTACCAGCAAGCCATAGTAACGTTATGGACATTTTTAAGCAGGAATGAATTTATGCAGAGGTTTTATTACTTACAAAATTGTGCAAAGGGCAAGAGGTATAAAAGGCGCATTAGAGAACATTTCAGGGGGAAAAACAGTTTTCATAATTTCTGTAAACTACTAGTAATGACTCAGTAACTTACACTAAAGATAAAGCCAAATTTCTCATTGATAAAGAGATTTGCATGAGTGTGAAGCATAGACTTAATCAGCTTCCTCAGCAGAAAAACTGCCATTTTAAACTGAAGAGGAAGGAAACAGGAAGTAATGAAGGCAGGTCCTTGAACTTCTTGAATTTCACAGGATGAAAGTCTTACTATTTGTCTTTGAACATGCCCTATGCCAAAGGAAGAATGACCCTGAATGCAATTCAGAGAGTTTTTTTTTTTTTTTTTTTTTTTTTTTTTTGAGACGGAGTCTGGCTGTGTCGCCCAGGCTGGAGTACAGTGGTGCAATCTCGGCTCACTGCAAGCTCCGCCTCCCGAGTTCAGGCCATTCTCCTGCCTCAGCCTCCGGAGTAGCTGGGACTACAGGCGCCTGCCACCGCGCCCAGCTAATTTTTTTTTGCATTTTTAATAGAGACGGAGTTTCACCGTGTTAGCCAGGATGGTCTTGATCTCCTGAGCTCGTGATCCGCCTGCCTCGGCCTCCCAAAGTGCTGGGATTACAGGCGTGAGCCACCGCGCCCGGCCATTCAGAGAGTATTAAGGCTGCCTCCTTAGTTTCAAAATTGGGGACCATGGCCTTCCATTCAATAGGGCAGCTGGACTTTGCACAAAGCTGTGGGGGCAGGCTATCCAAAGCTCTGGGGACGTAACCTCTGCTGGGTAGTGTTAGGAGGCAGTATCTCCCTGGATCTAGAAGGCAGAGCATGGAGCCAAAGGGATGATTTTTTAGCTGTAAGGTCTAATGTTGGTCTCCTTAGGTTTTGAACTTACCTGGGACTTGTCACTCATTTTTTCTTTCCTGTTTCTCCCATTTGGGATGGAAATGTCCACTCTAGGCCTGTACCACTATTATACTTTGGAAACACATAACTTCTTTGGTTTTAGAGGTTCACAACTGGAGATGTGTGTGCCTTACAGTGACTCATATCTTGAGTTTCACTCATATTTGATTTTGATGAGATTTTGGACTTAAACCTTAAAGTTGATGCTGGAACAAGTTAAGACTTTTGGGGCTATTAGTATGGAATGAATGTATTGTGCATGGGAGAAAGACATGAATTATGAGAGACTGAAACCACCTTTGCAAAAATTGTAACAGTGAGAGAAGTCTAACCTAACTGACTTCATCTTGCTTCTCACCTCATAAGCTAAATGCCTTTGTTAACTTTAAAACAAATATAAGAGTTCCTTCTTGAAACTAACTCAATTCTTGCTTGGGGACCAAAACCTTTTATTTTTTAAAACAAATAAAGGGCGACAAGGTTAAGATTATGTGAGAAAGCTGAATTCTGCTAAGATATAGGGATAGTTAAACAATAACCAGTCATTGCCCCCTAGCTTACCTTTCTATAATTGTTTACTGCTCCATAGATCACAAGATTTTTATAACTTCCCCGATTGCTACTATAGATAATATCATTAGTGTCAAAACTTAGCATTGGTCTTTGAGATATTTTTCAGATTTTTGCATGCTGGTGACTGATTGACTTCACCAGGACCCATGACTCTTACCAAACAGCCGGCATGGCTAGTCCTATGACCCCCCAACCCAGAAACTGATTCAGCATGCAAAGAGAGTTTGGGTACTCCTATGATATAATTTGAAGCACCCATTCTCTAGCCCCCTGTCTACCAAATTATCCTTAAAAACCCTACCCTCTGAGCTTTTAAGAAGGCAAATTTGAGAAATATCTCCCATCCTTCCACTTGGCTGGCCCTGAGGTTATTAAATTCTTTCCCTATTGCAACACTGCAGTCTCAGTAAGTTTGTTTTATCTATGCAGCAGACAAGAAGAACACAGTTGAGCAATTCCTGGACCAGAATGCTATTGACTGAAAGTGTGTATCTCCCCTAAACTCATACGTTAAAATCCTAACCCCCAATATGATGGTATTGGGAGGTAGGGCCTTTGGGAAGTAATAATTCATAAGGTCATAAGTTTCATGAATGGGATTTGCTCTTAGCAAGAGATCCCAGAGAGCTCTCTTGTGTATTTATCTTGAGATGATAAAGCAAGAAGACAGCAACCTAAAAACCAAGAAGAGAGTCTTCACCAGACACCAAATTTGCTGGCACATTGATCGTGGGCTTCCTAGCCTCCAGAACTATGAGAAATAAATTCCTACTGTTCATAAACCAACTAGTCTATAGTGACTAGCCCATTTGGTCACTTTTTTGGATTTTGGCTTTTATTTGTTTGTTTTTCTGAAGCAGGGTCTCACTCTGTCACCCAGGCTGGAGTGTGGTAGCAAGAGTACAGGTCACTGCAGCCTCAACCTGCCAGGCTCAAACGATCCTCCCTCCTCAGCCACCAAGTAGTTGGGACTATAGGCATGTACCACCGTGCCTGGCTAATTTTTTATTATTATTATTATTATTATTATTATTATTATTATTATTATTATTGTTATGGATAGGCAGTCCCATTCTGTTACCCAGGCTGTTCTCAAACTCTTTGGTTCAACGGATAGTCTTGCCTCAGCCTCACAAAGTGCTAGGATTATAGACATGAGCCACAATTCCCAACTGCCACATTCTGTTAATAGAAAAATGATCCTGTTTAATATATACAATGGAGTACTACTCAGCCATTAAAAAGAATGAGATTTAGCCATTTGTAGCAACATGGATGGAACTAGAGATCATTATGTTAAGGAAAGTAAGTCAGGCACAAAAAGACAAACATTGCATTTTCTCACTTTTTTGTGTGATCTAAAAATCAAAACAATTTAACTATGGAGACAGAATAGAAAGATAATCACCAGAGGCCAGGAAGGGAGGTGGGGACTGTTGGGGAGGTAGAGATGGTTAATGGGCACAAAAACTAGTTAAAATGAATAAATAAGGTCTAGTATTTGATAGCACAGAAGGGTGAGCATAGTCAATAATAATTTTATTGTACATTTTATAATAACTAAAAGAGTATAATAGGATTGTTTGTAACACACACACACACACACACACACACACACACAAATGCTTCAGGGGAGGGACACCCCCAAATTCATGATGTGATTATTACACATTGCATTCTTGTATCAACACATCTCTTGTAACCCATAAATATATACACTTACTATGTACTCACAAAAATTAAAAATTTTAAAAAATTAAGTCAATCAGAAAATTATCATACTATATTTTGTTAGAATAATAACTTTAATTACATCTTTTTAAAAATTGTAATAAAATACATATCCGTGATATGTAAGGTATAACAGATGGCCTGTTGGATGCAGTGCTCTCAAACAATGCAAAAATCCACACAGTTACAATCAGTTTAACTTACTTCCTTCTTGATGAGACTCAAAATATTTACTTCTCTAATAGTACATGAAAATAACATACTAAGTGTCACACACCAAGATGCTCCATTTCTTCAAGGCTTCATTCTAACTATAATAGATAAAATAACTTTATGATAATTTTGCTTAATATCTCCATTCCAAATTTCATATTTTACATATATAAATTTACAAGAACTCATGATTTATTTCTTCCACTCATTTACGTATCTCTATATTGATTACATTGAGACCTGTGTTCTAACTCATTTTTGCCTGTAGATGCTTTAACAGTTTTCCTCATATGTGATACATTCTCTGAATCCTTGTATATCCACAAATATTTACCTTTAGCCCCAACAGCTAAATGTCATCTTGGTTGGTATTTGATTGTTGTTTTATCTCAATTGCTCAAATGTAATACAAAAGAAAACTCCAAGACCACCCTAATTTATTTGTTACTTTTATTTTTCTTTCTTTTCTTCCAGAAACTAGGATAATCTCTATTCCTATAGGCTGATATTATTTCAGAATATGGTTTTGTATAGCCTTTCTAATCAATAGAGGCAGATTGAAAATGTGCAGTACATTGTAAAATTTTCTCCAGTCTATTTGTTATTTTTTGTTTTATTATATTTTAGCTATAGTCTCAAACCCAATTATTCCTATATTTTTCCTTCTAGTAGCCAGTTATTTCCAAATTAATTTTTCTGGATCTTCTGATTCTCTCATCTCTTCCCTCATGATTTCCATAATAGGATTTTTACTCTGTGTTTTCAGTACTGTGTCCACTTCTTCCAGGATCCTCCTCCAGGCCACAATTCAAATCTCAATAGTAAATATACACTGCATTTTATCTATAGGATTTTTACATTTAAAAAACAAATTTTGCATTACAGAAAATAACATTTATACTATAATCAAGTCTCTGTATATACTTATTTATTTTCTTCATGTTCTTATTAGTTGCTGTCAGCAATGTTATTTCATTGAATTCCACCTGTTTAGGGTATTCTAATAATTACGTTTCATTCATTCATTGATTCATTCTCTCCCTGCCACCTTCTGCTAAAATCCTACAGTTTAGTAGGCTAGTACTATATTTTTTCTATTGCTTACTTATTCCTCTGTTTTATTTAGGGGTACAGGACCAAGAGTTGTGATGGGTTACATGGTGGCTTTGTTATTTGTACCGTATAGCAGTCTGTCCTGGTAAGTGTGTGGTGGACAGTCAGGCAAGCTTCCAGGCTTCAGTCAAAGTTCCAGAAAAACATCAGTTTGTTCCCTGGCACCTGATAAAGATATAAAGAGATCCTTTCCCGAGTTATCCATGATCCAGTGCCACTTTTCCTTATTGTCCTAATTTTCACAATACAAGCTTTCTTTAAGAATACCTGTATTCTTATCATTGTCTCAAGACTTAACTGCTTTCAGCCTGAACCCCAGAAGTAAATAAATGTTGTCTATTTCTCTCTTTTAGGGCCTGGAATATTTCAGAATCATCTTTCTATTCTCCAGGCCTTATTTGTTTGCAAGTCCACAGAAGATGCCTCAATCATTAAAGAGTTGTTTTTAGTTAAATAAGAAATGGAATCATAGTAAAAGGAGAGTCAGGGAAGAGTGTGTGGTTGCCTTGGATGGGTCCTAAACTGTCTTTATTCTCTTGAACTATTAAAAAAAATTGATTAAAAAACAGGCCTTAAATGGAATAAAAAGTTAAAAAACAGGCCTTAAATGGAATAAAAAGTCCACCAAAAATAATACATTAACACAAATATGAAAGACTGAGAAAAGCATATTAAAATATTACTTAAAAAATATCAAGATCTATGGAGAAATATATCCTGGTCTTGATTCAATAGCAAATATATCCTAAAATTTGATCTTTATGTATAATTTTACAAAAAAATTTCTTTGATTTTTTTGTTTTTAAGTGATAGATACTAATTTTAGAGTGAACATCAAAAAGAATAACTAGGAGAAAAAATAAAAAAAGAAAAGTGAAGAGTGGAATAGTTCTACCAGATATGAAATCTCAGCTCAAAGGTACTAGCACAAACAAAAGCAGAAAGAAAATGGAATCATTAAAAGAAAGAGACCAAAACAAACAAACAAACAAACAAAGATTTGCATATATGGATTCAATGTCTGATAAAAGTGCCACTTAATCTTTGATTTAAACAAACACACAAAAATAGTAAGATTTCAGAACAAGAAAAACTAACTTATATTAATATAATTCAAAAGAGTGGTAGGTTGCTCATGAAGGGGGTGTATTGACCTAAAAAAGATGTGAGGCAAGCTTCTGATTTGAAGGAAATATTCTATATCTTAATTAGGCTGTTGATTATAAGGATGTATATTTTTTTCAAAACACATAGAATTTTATGTCTAAGACCTGTGAATAATTCTTTTATATATAGTTACCTCAAAATTAAATACCTAATAATTTACTAAAGATATAGTAAAACAAAAAATAGCAAACAGCACAATTACATGTTTATCTGGATGTGTATCCAGTTATCCTATCAATCCTTCTGTATGTATACATATAGATGTTTTGAATTGTTGTTTTTGTTTAAGAAGAGTTGGGGCTTTTAAAATTTATTTTTGGTTAGTGTGTGTGTGTGTGTGTGTGTGTGTGTGTGTGCATATTAATATGTGAAAGGGTTATAGAACCAAAGTCAAAAAAAAAAAAAGAAAAAACAGAAAGAATCTCAGAATCCTCTTCTCTTCCAGTCCAGACTGGATTGATAACTTTGTATGTTATTTACAATTGTAAGCCCTTAATTTTGTTAAATTAAATGTATGAGAGGCCATTGTTTTAGACTGAGCTCCTGTACTAGTCCCCAACAGACCAAACCAAAATAATGTCACTCATGTTAAATGCCACATTACCGAACTGAAACTTAAAAAAAGAAACCAAGAAAATCACCAAAAAGGCTAGTTTTCAAAAGAATAAAAGGGTTGTAGCTACCAAGCAAGAGGTCCAGTCAACTTGAGCCAGCCTGATAAGTAAGTCCCCTCTGTTTTAACCCTTACAAAGAAAGTAACCTGAAGTAACCTGATGTTAGCCATCTGCTTTTTGTGCTATGACATTTCCTTGTTCTTACTCAAGCTACCTTACAAAAACTAATAGAGCTTCTTTCTATTGTGTACATTGGATGCTGCCCAGTTTATAAGTTGCTAAGAAAGCCAATTAGATCTTTAAAACTCGATTTGTTGAAATTTTGTTCTTTGACAATTTGATGTGCCATATTGCTCAGGGACTCACTTCTCTCATTGCATACTTGCTTTTGTTTATAGATTTATCTCTGTATAATATATTTTTCTCCTCTGAAATCTTCTTTTTTATTCTTTTTACAGTATACTAAAATCTTCCTTCATCAGTTGAAAGGAAAGTGGCTTTTTAGATGCTCTCTTAAGAATCACTTCTGAATTGCACTGCCTCATGTTTTTCCTGACATGTTATAAAATTCATTAAGAACTTAGCTTCCTCCTTACATCAATCTAACTTATACTCATAGATACAGCTTGTAGTCCTATTGTAGGTAAAATTATATTTTAAAAGGAAAAAATAAATGTAAAAAGAAAATAATTTCTGATTAGATGCTCTGGAATCTGTTTAAATATAATATGACTGCTTATTCTAAGCCTGACAACTTAAAGGTGCCTTATTAAGACAAGATTAAATAAGTATAATAAAATTTATATTTTATCAGCTTGTATGTTTGTATTTGTTTTGTATTTATCCTGTATTTGCTTCTTACTGAAGTTTTGAATATGAGCAAATTTTACATTTGTGAAAGTCAAACCTGTTTGTGGTAAATACTGTTTTTTTTTTTTCAATATCATAAGCAGTCAAAAAAAAACTCATAGATTTAAATCTTGGGGGTGAATAATTTAAGATGTGTTTTTCTAGGTTGGAAATTATAAACAATTTAAAGGGCTCATAAGTTTGTATATTTTTATGTTAATATTTCTATATCTCAGTTTCACTTAAACATTTTAATAGAGGACTTTTAAATGAAAAATGCTGAGGAAATGACTGGCTAATGATGCCTATAAGCTTCTAAACATTAATTTAACTATTTACCCACAATCCGCTCCCACCCATTTAAATAAAAGGAGAATACCTTACACACTACAAAACATCTCTCTAACTTCCATATTATGGTCCTCTGCAAGTACTGCATGGCACTAATGCCCAGAAGTGAAGATCATGAAGGCATTACCATAAAAAGTCTAATGCTATATTTATCACAGAGTATGTAAACGTCAAGTGTAGTGGCGTTGGGCCTAAAAAGATTTTTTAAATTCTTTTTTTCACTGCTTTATTAGCATTATAATGCTACAAGAGAAAAGAATCTAACAGCTACATTATGGATTTATGCAAATTACTTACCACAAACTAAGCAAAATAGCAGACAACTTTATACAAGGGGAAAACGTTCCTAAGCAGGTGCAATAGAATTCTTTCATGACTGTCAAAAAGCACACCCTGTGAACTCTTTCTTGAATTAATTTAGAATAATTTCCTCCAAATATAGAAGTCTTCATTTAGACTACCAACTTAGAGTGGCCTTCTAAATGCCAAGCAAACATTCTTTATTATACCTTCTATTGGATTATGTGCAAAGGATTAACTGAAAAGAAATTTCTTTCAGTGTTTCAAGGATTTTTAGTATTAAATATTTACTAATGTTTAAGTATTTATTGTTTTTTTTCTAATCACTATTTGGCTAGCTCACTCTCTGTATTTTAAAAACAAGGTTAATATCTACTTCTAATTTATTACCTTTCCAGTTCAGAATACCCCCTGTTCTTATAATATGATGCAGAATAAATTAGACCTCATTGATTTCCATTATAATCATAGCTATTGTGTAGCCCTTATCATTATATCTGTCATTCGCTTTCTTTTCTCTCTTAGGTAAATAATGACAATATTTTCAAATATTTTTAATAATTTCTAAATAAAGGGCAACCTTGTGCCTTTTATTGGGACTATTCTACTTCTCAACTTGCTTAATCAACCGTTTAAATTTAAAGTAAACAAACTTGACTATTGAATTTAAAATGAAAATATACTTTGATAGAGAATTTGATTGCTTTTTCAGGCTAATAGTGGGATTGAGAGAGATTTATCACAGCCAGTTATAAACTTGCATACAAACAGCTTATATCAACACAAATACTTGAAATATTCGAGATTATATTGTAGGCATTTTTCCCCAAAAGAATTAACCCTCCAAAGTATTTAATGGCATCAAAAGAAAAGCTCCCAATAACAGAGTAATTAGGGAGAAAGCGGGCTTAATTCATGAGAAAAAAAACACAAATTTCACAAATAATAAATTATATCTTACATTTTCATATATAATGTAATTGGAAATATGTTTTACTTTTCCATCAAATGTATTTAAATAATGTAATTGTTATTTTAAAAACTCAACTCTTTAACCTTAAAAACAAAGCAAATCTTAGAATACTTAAAACGCAAGGTTTAAAAGATCTTATAAACATCCATTAGCGTATAAGATTTTGTTTAAATAAGCCCCTAAAAACTTGTTACTGAAGGTTAAAAAGAAACATCATCTGTACTAATATAGAAGAAAGTGGTACCATGTGTATCCTTCTTCAATAGTGAGAAATTCTGAGTCCTGGAGGACAATTTGGGCTGCTGAGTAGTATTAATCAAAACCCTTTACAATGTGCAATCTTACTTTGGGAATTTGTCCCAAGGAAAGAGTTATAATGTTCATTGCCTTTTTGTTTATTACAGTGAAAATACAAACCCACATCGGAAAATCCACCAGTAAATTATTAGCTAAACAATGGTATATGCACAAAATTCAAATCAGTGCAGTCATTAAATATAATATTTATTGACATTGAAAGATGTTCAGATATTAAAAATTAAATAAACAATCAATGACATAATATAAAAATGTGCAGAAAAGAGTTAACACAGCAGACCTTACTGCTATTCTTTGAAAGATGTGTTTACAAAATTGACTCTTGGCTGACATCTGGGAATGTAGATTTCGGGAGGGTTCCCACCAAGACAGATATGAATGGCTCATTTGTGTAAACTGTGCAAAAAATATGGTTTATAGTGAATATCCGTCTTCTGGAAGTCTGGAATTCAGGTATGCACCAGGCAGGGTGCCTGCATGTTCAACTACCAATAAAAATCCTGGGCACTTAGTTTCTTAAGAACTTCCCTGGTTGACAACATTTCACACGCGCTGTCAAAACTCATTGCTCATGGAATTAAGGTTGTCCTGAATCCTGTGTAACTCTGCTAAGGAGAGAACCCTTGGAAGCTTGCACATGGTTTTCCCAGGCTCTGCCTCATGTACTTTTTTCCATTGCTGATTTTTCTTTGTATCCTTTTCTGTAAGAAATCATAGTCTTAAGTATATCACCTGTTGACTCATTCTCATGAGTACCCAAAGCTGGGGGTACTCTTGGTGACCCCTGACATGACACAGAAACATACAATCTATTTTTTTCATGCTTTTATATTATTACATATTTGTTTATTTTTAGAACCTTTACATAAACATACAATCTATTTTTAGATGTACAAATATTTACTAATAAATAAGAAAACACAAAATAACATGTTAAGAATATGAGTGGTGAATCGCAAATCATTTTTTCTTGATCTTAGTCATCAGTATTGCTATTCCATCTACAATGAGCTTGTATTACTTTTGTAATTAAAAATATATATATATAGATATTTAAATTATTTAATTATTTTTCTCTTGTACCTGAAATTCAAATGAGAATCGTAGAATAAATGTAATGTTTACAAAAGTGCAATATGGCTTGATGTAATGAAATCAAAGGTCAGTACTAAATACATAGAAAGAAGGTGTGGATTAACTTTCATATTATAAAGAAAATTCAAAATATTAATTATTCACTGCTTTTGAAACATTTCATTATTTGCTAAAATATATAAAATTAGCCTACTGTTATTTTGCTTCCTAAAACTTTTTCAAATAAAACTAATTAAATTCAGAGCAAAAGCCAACATTTTGTATTTGAAATTTAGAAAATTTTAACATGTGGCTAGAATTTTAACATTGAGCTTAAACATAAGTTGAGCTTCCTCATGGCATTGTTTTTCAACAAGAGTAATTTGTGTTTAAGTGTGAAGCGTTATTGAAATTTTTACTTGTTATTTTCTCATGTTCATGTATTTATGGGAGATAATTGAGGGAAAAATTTTAGGAAAAATAAACAAATGGACACATACTGAATAGATTTGCAAATACTGATTAATTTGTTTCTAATGTAAAGAAAGCTGAGAAAGAAATTATTTAGCTACAATATTTAAATAAAAATGAAAGAGTATTACATTTATTTACAACAAACTCTTAATCTACATGTGTATTAGTTTTAAATCATTTCACCCAGCAATAAAACTTAAGTTTTTTCCTACTTCAAATGAATAGACCATAGTGGTAGAGTCTACAAGTTTGGTCTTTGGACAAGAGCATAAATTTTAAGTCATTTTAATTTTCACCTACACAATGTATATACTTTTTATTTTTCTGTATCAGAAATAAAGACTTTCAAATATTTAGGTTTGGATTTAACTTGGCTCTTGGAGGTAGGCGAACATGGCAATGTATATGTTCGGAGATACGGAAAGTATGATTCTTAATTTTTTTTTAAATAACTTGTATAAGCGTTCATTATGTAGGTATTTTTCTTTGTGAAATGATTTGTGATACTTCACGTTATAAAGCAAAAACCTAGAAAAAATAAAATTCCAGTTAAGCACATATGTTTCATAATTTTTAAAAGGTTAAATAAAATATATTTATTCTTTTGCTAAGGATTTCACTCTCTTTTAAACATATATGAAATGAGCTACATTGCATTTCAAAGTACAACTTTCTGCATGTTAAAATATAATTCTTATCTAGTGCATAGCAAGAAGATTTTCACTGTTATTTTTTTTTATTTGGGGTTATTAGGATTTTTTGGTTTTAATGGGACACATTGAATGTTTGCCTTCTATGTTTAAAGCTGCCATTGAGGTTTCCTACCTCTTTTCATTTAATAGAAAACTTCTGGGCCACTCTATTGTTTAAGGTCTCTGGTGAAATCACACACTCTTCAGTGTTTGACTGTTTATTTGGTTTGGCTGCCACTGTGGGAACAATTTAGATGGCTTGAAGAATGTGCCCAAAATAATGAGAATGAGTGACAGCTGAGTGAGATTAAAAATCCATAAAAGTAAAAAAAAATAAAAAAAAAGAAATGTATTTTTTACACCTTTAGGCTTTTTGTTTCTGTTTTAACATTTTGAAGTTTCATATAGTGAATTCTCATTTAGTCTTTAATTAGTTCGATTCTCATTTTATGTGAGTACACCATAAAATGCAGAGAAAATAAAAGCTAAATTTCTAAGAAATATAAATGTCATCTTATCCTTGTTTTATTTGTCAAGTATTCTAATACTAATTTATTAGTTTTTAATCATTTACTCAAAAACTCCTCACTATATATACATTTTAAAAGACAAATTTTTATGATTTCAAGCTGATTTATTCTACTCTAACACATCTCATTTTTCTATTGGTAACTAAGAATTTCACAATCCTGACTTTCGGAACTGTTGTAATTTGATGTCTGGTGTTAAAAAAGAATCCAGAAGATCCCTCTCACTTCTAGAGACATTTCACTCCTGTCTCACTCTCTAAAAGCCAAAGATGAACCAGAGTAAAGCATGGCAAAAAGAATTTATCCAGACTTCATATCAATGCTAGGACAATATGGGGTCTAGAAAGACAGAAGGATGCCTGGATTTAAGTTCTAGTGAAACTAATTAAATATTTATTTTCCCTGCTCTTATTTCCTTTGGAAGTCTTATAGGAATAATAAGCAGCTAATTGAGAATAGTATTTAGATTTTAAATTTCCTGATCCAATTTAATAAATTGGTTTCCTGTCTCTCACTGCTCACCATTGTCCATCAGCGATAACCTGCTCTGCGTGAGGGCTACATGTTCCCAGCTGGTTGAAGATCCTTGCTGACAGACTGCACAGTGATGGATAGCCACACACCCCTGTACTGCCAAGATGGCCTATATGCTCCACGCCATCCTTTGGGAGGAAGCAAAGTAGCATTGCCATGTCAGAAAACCTCGAAGTCAAGAATAATTTGAAATGCTGCATCGTTTTTAATCCTGAGAGACAGAATAAGTAATTGATTCTTTCCAGCTCACAAATTTGTAGAACTATTCCGACTCAGTTTCAATGGAAATTAATGCTAGACTTGATTAATATGTGTTGCTTTTGAATTATGTACTATAAAACTCCTAAGGACAAAACAACTTTTTATGAAGAATTTATAAGTCATCTGTCTATAATACAAGTCAGGTGTGTCATTCTTTCAATTACCAAGATGTTCTCCCTTTACCAAACTTTAGTTAGGCTCCTCCGAGTTCTCTTTTTAATTAGACTTCAACCTTTGGACTTTCATGTTCATCTGTACATCACTCAGTTTTAGCAAGAATCTTGTCAAGTTGGTTTAGTTAGAATCCCACCCCTATAACTGATCATCCTCAATATCTGATCAAATTTTTCAGTCCCCATCACCCCTTAGGTGATATCTGATTAACCTGGCCTGCCTTCAGCCAGGAATTCTGTTAGGTCAGTTTAGCAAGAATTCCACCCCCACTCCTCAATCCCCGCCTTATCTCTGATGTTTCCATCTTCTGGCCCCTCCTCTGCTTCTTAGTTATAAATCCTCACTTGTCCACGCTGTATTCAGAATTGAGCCTAGTTCCATACTGAGGTATTTTCCCCCTATTGAAATAGGTCCTGAATACAATATATTGTAACTGCTTTAAATACTGTCTGCTTCTGGATTTCTTTGTTGAAATAAAACCAAATTGTCCAGGTAAAACTTCAGTTTGTTTCTAAGCTGACTTCTGGAAAAATTGAGCTTTACAAACACATGCCAAGGCTCCTATTTGAGTTTTCAAGTCAGATAAAGAAATCAAAATTTAATGTCTCCCAGAAAAGTGAAAAGTATGAGAGAAAATCCCTGAACAAATCGAGCCCTTTTATGTGAACAAAAGATGTGACTAGAAGAGTCTGGCACATAAGTATGCATATAATTAAAAAGAAAAAAGAACTTTCACAAAGCACTTACATTGGCAACATAAGCACACATGTTTTTGATTGAATTGACAAGTTATTATTCTTTGGTTCCAACATATTAATTAAAAAATACAACTTGAGATTGCAAAAAAAGAAAATCAAGAAGATAAAATGAGAAAAAGATCCAGTGGCTCAAAACTCTCCTTTATTTATAAGCCAGAAACCTGAAAATTGTCTTTGAATTTTTCTCTGTCAAATCTCTAATTAATTATTGACCCTTGCCAATTTTCCCATCTGAATCTCTCTTGAATTCATATACATTGTTCCCACTTTTAGTAGTAATACTCTGATCTAGACTATAATAATTTTTTACCTGTTTTGCACCATGGCACAAATAACTTCTCTCCTTTACTCCAAATTGCAGTTTACTTCCCACACCAAAAGGAGACTAATATTCTTAAAATCATATATTCATCCTTTTAAGATGAATGACATTCAAAAATGTCGGTCCCCCCATAAGAGTGAGAAAAAGTTGGATAAATGTCAAGTTATAGCTTTTATGAGTCATCCAAAGAACTGAGGTCATAAGGCAACTGAGTATTCTGAACTTTAGGAAATGACAGAACCCTCAAAGAAGAGCTGGGACAATGAGCAAAGCCAACACACAAGAGGGTAAAAAGAAATTGAACAATTTTCTAAACATCAAATGTGGATAGCTTGTCAGTCTAGAATATCCTGAAGCCCCTGATACAAGGGGAGTGAGTAACCTTTTGCAAGATATTTTCCTTGGACTTCCGCTAGGTGCTCCTACAAAAGTTTAGAAATCCTGACGAAGGCCAGAGAGAGCCATACTGGTGGTGAAGACGTGTAGGAGAAAGAGCAGCAGGCAAGCAAGACATGAATGACGACAACAAATACTATGCAGTTCCAGAGAACCTTCTTTCTTTTGATACAATAGTTTAAACTTCTGGGGAAGTAGCAGCAGACCTAATGCTCTCTTCTTCCACTATCTAAATTGATTTTCCCTTCATGATAGACTTCTTTCAATAACTTGCATTTCCCATGATTTCTCTCTTAAGGCTTCTGCATACACCATTTCCTCTGCCTAGGAAATTGCTATCTACTTCTGTGTAATTTGTCTTCTAATCTTTCAAACGTATATTTAATTTTGATGCTACTTTCCATTAATAAGTCCTCATTGCCTCACTCAACTTATTTGTACCTCAAGGTTTAAGCATGTGTCTTAGATACTTCATCTATTATTTTATACACTTTTTGTAATATTTACTGTTACTGATTGTTTCTTCTAGACTGTAAGTTTCCTGAGAACATAAACTACCTCCATCTTGCACAAATTTGTATGCCCAGTACAAAGCACAGAAGATTTAAATTGCTGTTTAAAAGTTATTAAACAGAAAAATTGTTTACTACTATTGATGAATAAAAAGTGCACAGATTTTCTTAGAAAAAACTGTATGCATATACTTCCATGAAAAATACTTTGTTGAACCTTAGGTCTAGCCATAATGATCTCACATTCTACACCATTTCTAGGCATTTGCACCTTCCTAATAAATACTCTTTCTAATGACTGCATTCTGTACTAAATTCTATTTTTTTAATAAATGGCCCAGTGATAACTCCTCTGAAGTTATCAATTGCCATCAAAATACCATACAAACATAAAACCTGGTATTTACATTGATAACCTTGCTTCTCATTAAGATTTTTTATTTGCAATAATAGCTTACATTGGAGAATATTATCCAGTGGAAGAGGATACATATTTGATTATCTCCGTAACAAGAAACAGAAATTATAGAACTAATGCCAGGCATTAAAAATTCGTAAGAGAAATTATACTATCATCTTGAGGAAGCAGCAAAGTTTCATGATAGTTTTAATACACTAAGTATTTTGTCTGTAAAATAAAATTGAATATTTTTACAAGAGCATTCTCAAATAGCACATGCATAGCCCACCTTAATTGCTTTTTAAAGGCATATCAGATCCTTGGGATTGGCGCTTGGAGAGGGCTGGTATATTTTGATAGTCTAATTGTGAAATGTAACATTTTAAAAGAAATGTACAGCTGGGCGCGGTGGTCATGCCTGTAATCCCAGCATTTTGGGAGGCCGATGCGGGCGGATTATCTGAAGTCTGGAGTTTGAGACCAACCTGGGCAACATGGTGAAACCCCGTCTCTACTAAAAATACAAAAATTAGCCGGGCATGGTGGCAGGATACTGTAATCCCAGCTACTTGGGCGGCTGAGGCAGGAGAATTGCTTGAACCTGGGAGGTGAAGGTTGCAGTGAGCTGAGATAGCACCACTGCACTCCAGCCTGGGCGACAAAGCGAGACTCCGTCTCAAATAAATGATTAAATAAATGAAATGTACAAAATAATACATAAATTTAATATATTCCAATGTTAAATTTTTAGTAATTTCTGAAAGAAAATAGTAGTGACAAAATTTTTCGTAACTTTATTTATATATACCGAAAGTTGAGTGAATAAAATAAATATTTTCTTTTTTAACTGAGCTAGTTTAATGATTGATATTAATCACTCTTTCTAATTGAGCTATTAACATATTTAATTATATAAGCTCCTAATATGAATCCACCTATTTTAACGCTTGTGGAATAAGTTACTTTTCCTGTTGCTACTGCATGTTGGATAAAGTGTAGACAGTGTCTAACGATTTCAAATAATTTTTGTAGTAACCCTTTGATCATCCTCAGGTGATGTCCTTTTACTAGTTATAATAGCTACTATTTAGAGGCTCTGTGAGTTCCAGGATCAAAATAATAATTTATGGTACAGTTCCAAGAAAAATATTTTCTATTACTTAAATATATTTTCTTCTCCTACTTTTATAGTTGTTATCAGAAATCCTAATTATATTGGAAAATGTAAAAAATTAGGTTACATGCGGAACGAAAGCTTGTCTCACAATAATAGATTGATCTTCCAAGTCTACATGCTAATTATATGTTACCTTTAATATTATTGATTGAATTTTTTCAGTAATTTATTTGTAACTAAGGCAAGTTGAACATTGCTATAGCTAAGATTGTTTATGCAAAATTGATCTTTTTAATGTCTTTATAGCCTTCCCATTATTACTTGAATTATTTCCTGTAAGGGGATCACATATGCTTTTTATTTTATTATTATTATTGCATCTTACATTTAGATTATATTTTTCAGCCTGGAAGAAGATTATAGAGATTCAACTTGTGTTTTATCCTTTGCACAGCATTATGGCCTTAGGAAGATTGCTTAGCTTCTTATTTGTCGTGTTAATCATAAATAGAAGACAATTTTTCAGACCAAAAATCTTTCCAGGTTTTCTTAGAGACATACACTTAGGTTTTAAAAATAATGAACTGGAGTGCTAGTTTAATTAACTGCAAAAAGACTGTTAACATTTATGAGACTCATATAAGATTGGAGGAACTCAATATATTGAAATGGCCTATTTCATCAATTTATATTAAAATATTTTATAATAAATATAAATTCTATTGTCTTGAAGCCATTTTAATTTCAGTTAAAAATCATTAACAATAATGAAATGAATGGTTGCATTAAATAAAATACTAATTTAAAAGAGAAAGTGGTAGAATTAAATTTGTTTTATAAAAATATATCTAATTTTTAGATAATACATAATAATAATGTGGTCATCTTATGACAATGATATGTTTTTTAATTTGACTTTGTTCTGTTCTTTATTCTCCTCTAGAACTTGAATATAGGCTTGCCTCTGATAGTTATAAGAAAAATGTCTCAGATTGCTGTTTTTAAAAAATATTTCCCAAAGTGTTCCTGGTTAAAGCCAAAAAACAACCCCTCCAAAAAAACAAAATCATAGAAATGACAGCTTGATATCCTATGTATATCACTTCTTCATATTCAGTGACAGATGAATCAGAGTATTTACTAGTGCAGAACATTCCTTTCCATACTTCCAGGTCAAGTATATTTTGGTAAACCAAAAATATGTTCCTCATGCTGCATCACTTTGAATTAGTAGCAATACAATCTTCAATAAAAGAATATGTTCTCTCTTGCTTGGTCAGAAAATGATCAACTAAAATGAAAATATCAATGTAGACAAAATAAGCTAAATAGGGTGACAGAAAAGTTGCAAAAGCATCTCTAATATTTTGTCCATATAAATCTGCATGTTTGACATTTGTGATATAGATAACATACTTTTTATAAAAATATGTATATACATTAGTAATTAACACAATTTTTTAAATGAGCCGTTTTGGAGAGAGATATTCTTTGCATTATTGACAGGTATGAATCAGAATGAAACACTTATTTTATGAAATATTTTCTTTAAAAGAATTCATGATTACCCTTTCCTGCCTTCTAGGAGTCTCTCAGACCTAAATTCCTAAAACTGTAAAACAAACATATTATTACAGGTAATATGAAACCCCTTTCTCTGTAGCATGTATTTACTCCCAGATGAGAGATTTGTCTTTTTTAGACAAATGAGTTTTGCATAATGTATACCACCTGTTTCATCATTTTATTGGCTTATTTTTTTCTATATTTTTATGGCACATCTCGAGACATCCTATTAGAACCTTCTTCAGTTAGTACCTCCTCTTGAGTGAATTCTGTTTCTACTCTCTGCTAAGTCCACACCAGATTTGTACCTTCATTTACATTGTGTTTGCCTTACCATGCCTCCTTTACTCCAACCATGGCTCAAATTCTGCCTTTACCTCATGTACTTTATTTACCTCAGAGTAATCAAGAGAATAAGATTAAAGCTGATGAATCTTTTCTGAGATTGGCCAACTGAATGTAGATTTCCTTAACTTCTCTGCATTATCTGTGGCTCATTTTGGGGAAGCTGTTTACATTTCTCCATTTGAAGGGCCATAGAGTAAATAAGTTTTTAGTGATAGTAAAATAGTATTATTAATGATAGTAAAATAGTATCATTAAAAAGTTTTTAATGATAGTAAAATTTAATGTATTTGCTCATCTTTTCTCTAATAGAAATTACATTTAACTCTTTGGTGGTTATGAATATCTTCAGAAAACAAAGAATACAGAATTCTGGCTTTTTGAGACTTTTGAATTTCCAGTTGGCAGGGTGAGACAATTGTTTTATCATTTGAAAAAGAAATAATACATGAAATACTCTAGTTATATCAATTATTGGGGTAAGGGGGAAAACAAAAGTGGGAGAAACTCTATATGTTAAATATTTTAATATTGTTACAACTATAATAATAAGTATTGTTCTTATCTTCTGAGTAGTGTTTCAATGGCATTATCAAAGTCAGTATTTGAAATTCCTGATCAGGGAGAGCGAATTTACTTGTTTTTTATAAGTTTATTCAATAATTATTTAACTTATTAAGAATAGTGGAAGACCAGAATATGTCAACACAAAATATGAAAGATCATTGAGCTGAAGGCAATTCAGAAGAAGCACATACAGTAAAGCTTTCTACCCTCCTTCTATTTGCCTAAAAACAGGACATCAATTTCCAAAGACAAAAGGTTAAGTAGAACAAAGGTTAACCACGGAAGATAACTTTAGACACTTATGGGCCTGGAGTTGCTACAAGAGGACTAGGCATTGAACAGCTTTACTAACTAGCCTTTATCTGTAATTTGTTTGTCTTTCCACAAGTTGCTATTCATAGAGGCTTAATGTCCTTTTCCTTTGTCTTGATACATCTCTAAAAATGTATTGTTCATAGTTGAAGATGATATACAAACTGTAATTCAAAGCCTCCACCTTTTGAAAACTATTACCTGCATGTCCCCCATGTATATATGAAATATACATGATAATAAACTTCTGTTTGCTTTTCTCTTGTTAATCTGCCTTTTGTTACAAGGGTCCATTCCAAGTAAGAACCTATGAGGGTCGAAAAAAAATTATTCTTTCCCTACCATTTGTATCCACTCAGTACTGGAAACTACATATTGTAACAGAGGGAAAAATTGTTGCCTTCTACTCTCTTAGGTTTTTTGGCTGGGCTACAAACTAAAATGACTAAAACAGATTAAAAGGAAAGAAATCAATTTTATTTGTCTACATATGTGTGGGAGACCTACAAAAATATGAGACTCAAGGAAAGGCCAGATGATTTAAACTTATATAGCATCCTAAGCTACAAAAAAGAATAGTGACTTGTGGCTTCTGAGCAGTAGTGAAGACAAATTATTGGAAGATGAGGGGAGGAAATGTGAATAAAGATTATCTTTTTCTGATGCCACAGAATAGACAACTTAATAATAAAGCTACATACCTAAAACCAATGATCTTAGATAAAGTTGGTAAAAGTGAACAATGAGCAAAGGACAGCCTATTCGACAAATAGATAAATGATGCTGGGAAACCTGGCTAGGCATGTTCAGAAGAATGAAACTGGACTCCTATCTCTCATCATATACAAAAATTAACTCGAGATGGATTATACACTTAAATGTAATACCTGAAACTATAAAAATCACAGAAGAAAACCTGGGACAAACTCTTCTGGACATTGATCTAGGCAAAGAATTTATAACTAAGACCTTAAAAGCAAATGCAACAAAAACAAAAATAGACAAATGGGACTGAAATAAAGTAAAAAGCTTCTGGACAGCAAAAGAAATAATTAACAGAGTAAACAGACAACTTAAAAATGGGAGAAAATATTTCCAAACTATGCATCCGACAAAGAACTAATATCCAGTATCTATAAGGAACTGATACAAGTCAGTAAGAAAAAATAAAATAACCCCATTAAAAAGTAGGCAAAGGACATAAACAGACACTTTTCAAAAGAAGACATACAAGCAGCCAACAAACATATGAAAAAATGCTGCATATCACTAATCACCAGAGAAATGCAAATCAAAACCACAAGGAGATACCATCTCACAGCAGTCAGAATACCTATTATAAAAAGTCAAAAAATAACATGCTGGTGAGGTTGCAAAAAAAGGAAACACTTATACACCATTGGCGGGAATGTAAATTAGTTCTTCCACTGTAGAGAACAGTTTGCAGATTTCTCAAATAACATAAAATAGAACTACCATTCAGTCCAGAAATTCAATTACTAGATATCTACCCAAAGGAAAGTAAATCATTCTATACCAAAAAGACACAGGCATGTACATGTTCATCGCAGCACTATTTGCAATTGTAAAGACATGGAATAAAACGAGGTGCCCATGTTGTTGGATTGGGTAAAGAAAATGTGGTACGTATACACCATGGAATAATACACAGCCATAACAAATGAAACGATGTCCTTTGCAAAAACATGAATGCAGCTGAAGGCCATTATCCAAAGCAAATTAATGCAGGAACAGAAAACAACTACCTCACATTCTCACTTATAAAGGGGGAGCTAAACACCAAGTATTCATGAACATAAAGATGGGGAAAATAGACACTGGAGACTACTAGAGGGAAGAGGGAGAGGGTGGCAAAGGCTGAAAAACTACCCATTGGATACCATACTCACTATCTGGGTGATGGGATAATTCATACCCCAAACTTCAGCACCACATAAGATACCCATGTGACAAACTCTCATGTGTACCCCCTGAATTGAAAATAAAACTTAAAATAAAAAAGAAAAGATTGACTTTTTATGCAGATTAAAGTTCTCTGATGATGGAGATACCTGCTTGGTATAGATACATTTACTAATGAAAATTTATTTTATAGATGTAAATATCCTTTACAAAAGAGCAGCTTTTCAGTACTACTCCTGTGCCTGCAGTTTCTCTAAATAATCAACTCCACAGAATCATTTTGCCAATGAAGTATATTTTTGGGTGCCATAATCTGGTATACAGTAATGTTTTGAGATGGTATTTCTTGAGCTTCAACAACATTATAATATTACATAAACTACATAAATATATAAAGATAAAAATGAATAAATATAGTTATTGGCTGGCATATTGAAAAACATTTCTAAATTATTTTTATAAGTTTTTTCCTAGATTGCAAATTTGCAACTTTTGTCCTATAAAAGGCCTAATTCAGAAATAATTAAGTTTAATAGCACCCCACAAATGTTAACAGAAGCCAGGCAGTTTTTAAATTTTTATAGATTTAGGGAGTACAAGTGAAGTTGTGTTACATGGATATATTGTGTAGTGGTGACTGGACTTTCAATGTACCAATACCCAAATAGTGTACATTGTACCCAGTAGGTAGTATTTCATCTCTCACCCCCATCCCAGTCTCCCACCTTCTTGGGTTTCCAATGTCTATTATTCCACTGTGTATGTTTACCCATAGTTTAGCTTCCACTTTTGAGTGAGAACATGCAGTTTTTGATTTTCTGCTTCTTTTTTTCTTTCTTTCTTTAAGACAGAGTCTCTCTCTCTCTCCCTGTCACCTAGGCTGCAGTGCAGTGATGGGATGACAGATCACTGCAACTTTGTACTCCTAGACCCTAGCAATCCCCCCACCTCAGCCTCCTGAATAGTTGTCACCACAGGCATAGACCACCATGCCTGGCTAATTGTTTTATTATTTTTGTAGAAACGGGGATCTCCATATGTTGCCCAGGCTGGTCTTGAACTCTTGAGCTCAAGCGATTCTCCCTCCTTAGCCTCCCAAAGTATTGAGATTATAGGTGTGAGCCATCATGCCTGGCCTGACTTTGTGTTTCTGAGTCATTTTATTTAGAATAATGGCTTCCAGTTCCATCCATGTTGCCTCAAAAGATATGGTTTCAATCTTTTGTATAGCTGTGTAGTATACTAAGGTACATGTGTGGTGTGTCAATAGAGCAATAGATAGATAGATAGATAGATAGATAGATAGATAGATAGATAGATAGATCGATCATATTTTCCTTATCCAATCATTCATTGATGAACACTTAGGTTGACTCCATGACTTTGCCCTTGTGAATAGCACTGTGATAAATAGATGCACGAAGGTGTGCTTTTCAATATAAGGATTTATTTTCCCTTGGGTAGATACCCAGTAGTAGGATTGCAGGATTGCATGGTAGTTCTAATTTTAGTACTTTGAGAAATCTCCATACTATTTTCAATGTACTAATTTACATTTCCAACAAAAGTGAATAAGCATTTCCTTTTCTATGCATCCTGGTGAATATCTGTTGGTTTTTGACTTTTTAATTCTGACTGTGAGATAGTATCTCATCATGGTTTTAATTTGCATTTCTCTAATGATTAGTGACGTTAAGAATTTTTTCACGTTTTGGGGCCACTTGAAAGCAGCCATTTTGACTCTTTGCATGAAAGTAGTTCTTCAATATTTAACAAATTCAGTATCTAAAAGTATCAGGATTTCTTAAAGGCATTATATATAACTTGAAATACATGTATAAAAATGGGGCTATATAACATATATTGAATTAATTTCTCAAATTTTAAATAATTTTCATATCTGCAACATCAGGTCAAAAGTAACAGTAAACTCCACTTTTGCAAATACATGTTCAAATTCTGAAATTCAAATATTTGTTATATATATTCAAATGGATGCATTTTTGTGGTGGAAATTTTACCTTTATTACAATGGATAATGTGATGTCAAACCCAAATATGATGAGTAGTTTTAAGAGTAATGTAGAGGCTATTGTTAAAATCTGCTTATATGAGGATTGTGTTATGTGTTGCAACCAGCACAAACATGTTCAAACTCCAAACACCATTTCTTAAACAATACTTTGAAATTCATTTGGTAAATGTCAACTGCCAATAATAAAAAAGGGAAGTAGATTTGTAACACCTAAACTAACAATCAGCTTATCTGGGTTCTCGGATTCCCATAAAGCTGCAATCCATGTCAAAGTAGCACCATTTCTTATTGGAGCTCAGAGTTCTCTTCCAATCTCATGTGGTTGTTGAGATAATTCAGTGTCCCATTAGTTTGCTGGCAGTCAACCGAGCATGATTCTTAAGTTCTATATGCTACTCGCTGTGCCTTCTCACAATTCAATCTTAGTGATGGTGGTTCAGTTATCCTGCCTCGGCCTTCTGAGTAGCTGGAACTACAGGGGTGCACCACCTTATACAATGTATTAAGTAATTTTGTGCACAAAACAAAGTTTTGGTTGTGTTTTGACTATGACCCATCACGTGAGTTCAGATGTGGAATTTTCCACTTGTGGCATTATGCCAGCATGAAAAAGTTCCTGATTTTGGAGCATTTCAGATTTAAGATTTTAGGATTAGGGTTGCCCAACCTGTACCTTCTTTTCAGAGTTGTGAGTATTAAATGAGTTATTACATGTAAAGCATGTAGAACATAGAGTAATTATGAGTATTTCCTATTATTATCACCCCAGTTATTTTTGATGATCATTCATTTATAGTCAATTAATTAGAAAACCCCAGTATAAAAAAGATAATACAACTTTGGGAAAATATCAAGCAGCTAAAACATTCCCCAAAAGACATATTTTTAAAATACATTTGATAAAAGAGTTTATTTTTTTTACCGAGTTATAAGTTGCAGTTGTAGAAAATTACTCATATTTGACTACCTAATATCCACTGTCACTCATATTCCTTGTGAAGTAAACTTTGATTTTATATGGAGCACCAATGTGATGAGCTCAAGGAAATGCATACAAATTGTTTTATGCCATTCATAATCCTATTACTTGCTTCTTCTGTATCCCTTGCTGCTGGGGTGCCCACAGGACTCAATTCTAGGCAAAAAGACTTACGCAGAATTTAGCCAAGAGGTTTTAGGAATGTTTCTGCTTCCCTGCCAAATGATAACAATGGCTCTGGCATTCAGTGCTTTTTTCCCTTCCTCATGTCTGGAGATATAGCAGCCATCTTGAAGACAAGAAGAAAAATGACAACCGGCTAATCATGATGGAATAAAAATTCATAAGGAGCCTGGTTCTTTGATGATTCATTAAGTGACGGTATCAGTGCCAACAACCAACCACCTCTCTCTATTCTTCTTATTATAGGGGATAAATAAATGCCAATTTGCAAGACACATTTTATGTGATGGTTCCTGCTCCTTTCAGGTAGGTAGAAACGAATGCAATTTTTAGAAGGTATGAAAGATTGACTGAATAACCTGATATTACCAAAGACAAAACAAATAACAGACACTTCAAAAGAGTGTTTTTATATGAATGAATAAGAGAATACATGGACAGACAAATCTGCCATTCATTAAGTCACTGTTTTCTCTGACTTGTTTAAATCTACCACACGCTCTAAATTTGAACAGAGATAGCCTTTGAATAAAGTACACAGTTTTTACCCCATCAAATTCTCTGAAATAATAGCAATCTTGCATCTACAAGAATAAACAACCATCTTCCCCTAAAAAAATATGCTG
Organism: Homo sapiens; assembly: GCF_000001405.40. Taxonomy (NCBI): domain Eukaryota; kingdom Metazoa; phylum Chordata; class Mammalia; order Primates; family Hominidae; genus Homo; species Homo sapiens. The sequence continues at coordinate 162,099,610 of NC_000003.12, read as the reverse complement.
AAAAGAACAGAAAAGAAACTATAAAGAAAATAAAACCTTCTCAGGGCTCTAAATCTTTACCTCATTATCCGGTATGTTCCCTTTAACTATCATATACTATGAACCCCCACAACCCACCCCCAATCCCAGCCTTACCCATACCTCAACCACTATTTGTCATTTGAATCAACCCATTTTACTTTCTTTTAAGTACTACACAGTGTTTAAAATTATTTTGCTACTGTTACTATTTATATATTTATTTTGCCTTAGTAATTTGTCTCCCCTCCTTACAACTAAATTACAAGCTCCATCAGAGCATAGATTATGAGATGCCTATGAAAACTTTACCTAAAGTCCTAGAAAATATTCCAGAATATTGGAGATAATAAGTGATAAATGAATTAAGAAATAAAGGAAGGAATCATCATGATAAATAAACATAGCCCCCAAAAATATTTAAGTACTTTTTACATAACAGGCATAAATGAGTGTTAAATAATATTTAAGAAAGCTTTCATATATTCTTGCTGTTGGAGCACTGCAAACTCATTTGCATTTCAATGCAAGTTTTCTATAGACTCAATAGAATTTGCATTGTAAATATGCAGCTATTTTTTAGGAGAATTACAACCATATTTAATAATGTCTAGATTTGAAATACATAGGCACAATCTATGAAATAATTGTTCATTAAATAAAGTCTTACTTTGAATTTGTAAAAATGCTGGTCTAATGCAAATAACACCAGGTCTCCTTAATGCCTCCCAATGCCAAACCATCTTCAGAGAGTTTCACCATCAATTTACCAGATTACAACTGTAGATGAAATAGCATTCTAAAGCAATGAATATAAAAGATACCTTGTATAATAGGTATTAAGAGTCTTCTAGTGTCTTTTTCTACTCATTTTTCTATGCATGAATATACAAAAGTATAAATTTTAAAAATCCAAACAAGAAGAAAGGCTACACAATGACAAATGCCTTTCTCCCTCCTCAGACTCGGTCTCCATTTGAATGAAGCAATAGCTAACACCAAGTTTTAAAAATTAATCTTTGATTTTTTACAGAGTAATATATTTATAATCTGTTTTAGTACATCTAAAGATTAATTTCATAATTTTCAATAAATTATGTAAACTTTTTTCAAGTTTGAACAAATACTTCGGAATTGATTTTCAGTTATGAACTATTTCTCATGCAAATGTTTAGTGAAAACTCCCAATGAAGATGCTTCTTAATGAAGTAGAAACATGATAAACTCTCTGATTTCAGGCAGCCTCCTCCTTGATCAATGCAGTGCTTACACAATCAACTCAAGCACAAAGTGTTTAAGGTAAAAAGAATAAAGGCAATTAATGGAATCAGAAACATTAATTCTCCTGACCAAGTCTGACTTTTTATAATCACTGCTGTGGGACCTACTATCTCCAGTAGCCATAGCATCGTATGGGTGACCATATTGTGAGCCCAACCAGCTATTTTGATATTAAATGGGTTATAGTTGAGTCTCCTAACACAAAGTAGTTAGTTTCTTGTCCTCATTGGAATATACACTTACTCAGGATTTGGAGTTGCATGTTCTTATTCATTATGCATCTGTATGCACTATCATCTCTTGGCTTAATGAATGTTCTGATATTCTGCCCAGCATTGCTTCTTTTTTGGACACGTCCTTTACATAGAATGAGAAAGTGTTATGGGCTGATGAAAATCAGTTACAACTATTGATAACATGTGGCACATACTCTGAACCTACAATGTATTTGTGATACTATATTTTCAACAATTTTATACCCAAATTTATGAAACAAAAAGTTAACTTAAGCCTAATGATTCATTCATTTTTTAAAAAACATTTTTTTCTCCCTATAATCATAGGTCCTGTAGTCTTAGGTGCTTATACTATGTAGGACAGGAACACTGCTATTTAAAAAGGGAAAAATATATGTGCATATAAAATAATTAAGTATTACTTGTCTTTTTTCACATCTGTTACTGCATATGGAGAGTGTTCATAGGGGATGACATTTCAATTTAATACAAAAGCTGAAAAATATTAATAGTGGACCAAATCTGTAATATGAGACAAATGGACATCATCCAGAAGTTCTGATCTTGGAGACATCCTCAAAAAATATTGAAACATTAAATTTGCTTCCACTAGAAAAGGTGTCAGCACACTTTGGACAGTCTGAAGGAAAGTTGCATTGTTAGATGAGAGGTTTTCTCTTTTTGAAAGTAAAATAATGAAGGCAAACACGTCTGCATGTTTTAAAAACTAATTTATGTGCGTACCCAGAGCAAAATGTTTACATGTAATAGAAATGCATTGTTATGTGTTTACTCAGCATCCAAACAATCTTCTTCACTTATGAAACTCCATCAATGGTTATGATTAATGATAGGCAGGAAATCAAGAAGGCAAATGCTTTCTTTATCTCCCTCCAGGGTTCTAGGATGTAGAAACATGAATTAGACTCTGTCACTCAAGACTGAACTTGGGAAAATGATGCATAGCCAGGTATTAGTCATGGTAGGAACAAAAGAGTCAACAGTTGAACAGTGAAAGGGATTGCTTATGGGTATGCTGTCATGGTGGCAGCAACAATAGCACCTTAACTAGTTGTTTCTTGTCTACAAACCCAGCTCTGGCTCATGCTCATTATCTACACTGGTTCCTTTAGCATCCTCAGAGATTCTCCAAGCTACCGTAATCCTTTCGATCAATTCTGTTACATAGCAAAGAATTCTGACTGACAAAACTGATATGAAGTGTTCTGGAGGTCACATTCATTATAGCTCACAACTAAGAGAAATAGGAGGGGAAAACAAAGCAAAGCAAAAACCAGTATTTAAATTCAAAGAAATGATCACTACAATGCTAAATACCTATCCCAGTATTTAAGAAGTGGTGGCATTTCAAGGCATATTTTAAGAGAAGGGAGAGTTATATAACATAGAAGAAGTAAAAGTAAACAACACTGATGCATTTGTTAAAAATAATAAAATAACAGAATTTAGAGATAAATAATAAGTTATCAAATAAACCTGAATAGGTTAAACTCTTGGATTAAATTGTAATCATTTATTTACTGGTCAAAAATAGAGAACATTAAAAATTATAAGGACAACAGGGAAGAAAAAAATTTAAAGAGAAAATCTAAAAAAAACAGCTCTTTTATAGACTAGATTCTTTGATTATAACCAATAAAACTAGAAATAAAATGTTTTTAAAACTTTAATACCTAAAATTTTGTATTTTTCCTAAATAACTCCTACATCAAAATAAAAATAAAACTGAAATTTTGAACTACACACAATGTAATTAAAAGCAAAATCGTTCATACCAAAAGTTTTGCTGTATCACTAAAGCTCTAAGGAAAACATATAGCCAGAGATGCTGGAAATACTTAAAGTTTAAAAACATAAAAGAAGAAAAGTAGGAAGAAAAGGAAGGAGAAACAAAAAGAAAAAAGGGAAGGAAGGAAGGAAGGAAGGAAGGAAAGAAAGAAGGAATATGAATTACCTTCATTTAATATAAAGAAATTAGGATAAGAAAGGAATTATACCCTAACAAGAAACAAAAACTGAACTAATATGTTTTAAGTAAGTAGGGAATAAAAAAAAGAAAATACCAAAGCAATTAATAAAACTAAAGGGTTTTATTAATGGATGTTTGGATGTTTGGATGTTTTATTAATGGATGTTTGGATGTTTGAAAGACCTATAAAACAGATAAATTCTAAAGTGGCTGATTGAGAATAAAATAGAAAATGCAGGGAAGAGACAGAGCAAGACGGCAGAATAGAAGGGTCCACAGAGATCATTCTCCAAGCAAGGACACCAATATACACAGAAAAAACACCTTTATAGGAACCAAAAATGAGCACTCATCATACCTGATTTAAACTTAATATAGCTCAAAGAAGCACTGAAGAGATAGAAAAAAATAGTCCTGAATTACTGAGGCTACCCTCCCATCACTAGCTGGCAGTTGTGACATGGTGCAAAAAGCATCTCTGGGCACTGGGGGAAACAGAACACAGCAATTATGAGGCATTGAACTCAGTGCTGTACTTCTAGAGCAGAAAGGAAAACCTGACCAAACTCAACTGATGCCCACCCACAGAGGGAGCATGTAAACCAGCCCTAGCCAGAGGGGAATCATCAATCCCAGCAGGCAAAACTTGAATTCCAACAAATCTCACCACCGAGAGCTTCAGTGCTCTGTATCTCCAAGTAAACTTTAAAAACAGTCTAGGCCATAAAGACTGCAACTCTTATGGGAGTCCTAGTGCTGAACTAGGCTCAGAGACAGTACACTGGGGAGAGGGAGCATGTGACATACTGAGACACAAACTGGAGTGGCCAAGGGAGCACTGGCATTACCCCTCCACTAACCTCAGGCTGCATAGTTCATGGCTCCAAAAGAGACCCCTTCCTTCTACTTGAGAAGAGGAGAGGGGAGAGCGGGTAAGACTTCATATTGCATCTTGGATACCATCTCAGCCACAGAAGGAGAGAGTACCAGAGTTGTGAAGCCCCAATTCCAGGGCCCCGGGTTCCAAGTCCTAGTTCCCAGATCATATTACTAGACACACCCTGAGCCAGAAGAAAACCTACTGTCTTGAAGGAAAGGACCCAGTACTGGCAGCATTCATCATCTGCTAATTGAAGAACTCTTGGGTCCATAATAACCAGCAGCAATACCCAGGTACTACGTCAAGGCCCTTGGGTGAGCATGTGAGACTTGCCGGCTTCAGGCGAGGCTCAGCACATTAAGAGCTGTGGCGGTTATGGGGTAAAACTCCTTCTGCTTGAGAAAAGCGGTAGGAAAAGTAAAGCAGATTTTGTCTTGCTCCTTAGGTACCAGCAAAGCCTCAGGAGATGTAGCACCAAGCGGGCTCTTGAAGTCCCTGATTCCAGGACGGACTCTTGAATGGCATTTCTGGATCTTCCCTAGGCAAGAGGTGAGACAATTGCCTTGAAGGGTGAGTCCTAGACCAGACAGCATGCAATAGAAGCTGACTTACGAGCCCTTGGGCCTTAAGGAAATATTGCTCGTAGTCTGGCAGTACTATAGCCTAGAGTGGTGGTAGCTATGGGGTGAGGCTCCTCTGCCTTGGAAAGGGGAAGGAAGAGTGAAGACTGTATCTTGAGGTTTGAGTGCCAGCCCAGCCACAGTACAATACAACATATTGTATTATGTTACAATACAGTTAGACTTCTAAAAACATTATAGCACTGTAACTGTGATGTGTAAACTGGTCTCACCCTAAGTAAAGAAATAATAGCTACAACTTTTCAAGACATAGTACAACAACATATAAATAGAAACAAAAAAAATGATTAAAACTGGGCAGGGAAAATAAAGTTAAAGCACAGCATTTTTATTAGTTTTCTTTTTGCTTGTTTATGCAAACAATGTAATGTTGTTGTCAGGTTAAAATAATGAGTTATGAGATTGTATCTGCAAGCCTTATGGTAACTTCAAACCAAAAACATACAATGGATACACAAAAAAATGAAAAGCAAATAACTAATTCATATCACCAGAGAAAATCATCTTCATGAAAGAAAGATGGAAAGAAAAAAAAAGAAGAAAGAGAAGACCACAAAACAACCAGAATAACCATAACAAAATGGCAGAAATAAGTCCTTACTTATCAATAAAAACATTGAATGTAAATGGACTAGACTCGCCAATCAAAAGACATAGACTAGCAGAATAGATTAAAAAGAAAAAAAATCTAATGATCTCCTGACTATGAGAAACACACTTCATCTATAAACACACACATAGACCAAAAATAAAGGGAGGGATAAAGATATTCCAGGCCAATGGAAGCCAAAGAAGAGTAGGAGTTGCTATACTTATATCAGACAAAATATATTTCAAGACCAAAACTATAAGAGACAAAGAAGGTCACTATATAATGATAAGGATGTCAATTCAGCAAGAGGTTATAACAATTTTAATTATGCATGCACTCAACACTGGAAGTCCCAGATATATAAAAAATATATTATGAGAGAGAAAGAGAGAGAGGACCCATACAATAATAGCTGGAGACTTCAACAACCCACTTTCAGCGCTGAACAGATATTCTAGACAGAAAACCAGCAAAGAAACATCAGCCTTAATCTGTACTATAGACCCAATAAATATAATAGATATTTACAGAACATTTTATCCAAGAACTGAAGAATACACATTCTTTTCCTTAGCACATGGATAATTCTCAAGGATACACCATATTTTAGGTCACAAAACAAGTCTTAAAATATTCAAAAACAATTTAAATGATAAGCACCTTCTCTGACCACAATGGGATAAAACTAGAAATTAATAAGAAGAGGAATTTCAGAAACTATACAAATACATGAAAATGAAATATGCTTCTGAATGACTCGATCAATGAAGAAATTATGAAGGCAATTGAAAAATTTCTTAAAACAAATCATAATGTAAACACAATATACGAGCAAACACAACATATCAGGAAATGCAACACACCTAAACCTCTTGGGATACAGCAAAATCAATACTAAGAGGAAATATTATAGCTATAAGTGTCTAAAAAGAGGAAAAACTTCAAGTAAACAATTTAACAATGCATCTTAAAGAACTAGAAAAGCAAGAGCATGTACCGTGGCTAGGCTGGCACTCAAACCTCAAGATTCAGTCCTCACTCTTCCTTCCCCTTTCCAAGGCAGAAGAGCCTCACATGCTAATCAGAATGATGTTGATTAAAAAGTCAAGAAACAACAGATGCTGACAAGGCTGTGGAGAAATAGGAACACTTTTACACTGTTGGTGGGAGTGTAAATTAGTTCAATATTGTGGAAGACAGTGTGGCGATTCCTCAAGGATCTAGAACCAGAAATACCATTTGACCCAGCAATCCCATTACTGGGTATATACCCAAAGGATTATAAATCATTCTACTATAAAGACACATGCACACGTATGTTTATTGCAGCACTATTTACAACAGCAAAGACTTGGAACCAACTCAAATGCCCATCAATGACATACTGGATAAAGAAAATGTGGCACATATATACCATGGAATACTATGCAGCCATAAAAAAGAATGAGTTCATGTCCTTTGCAAGGACGTGGATGAAGCTGGAAACCATCACTCTCAGCAAATTAACACAGGAACAGAAAGCCAAACACTGCATATTCTCACTAATAAGTAGGAGTTGAACAATAAGAACACATGGACACAGGGAGGGAAACATTACACACTGGGACCTGTTGGGGAGTGGGGGGCAAGATGAGGGAGAGCATTAGGACAAATACCTAACGCATGTGGGGCTTAAAACCTAGATGAGGTATTGATAGATGCAGCAAACCACCATGGCACACGTATACCTATGCAACAAACCAGTACATTCTGCACATGTATCCCAGAACTTAAAGTAAAATAAAAACTAAACCAAACAAAAAAGAACATGTGAAAATATATATGTACAAAGTTGTTCATTAGAGTATTCTAAAAATTAGCCAAAAATGAAAAAGGAAACTAAATATCCACTAATGGGCACTCCTTAAATAAAGTTTCATGTTGTCATGTAATGAAATATCCAACTGATTATCTGACACTTGAATGTTCATTTCCTGTTATAACATGATATAATAATAATAATAATAGTGTTAAATGAAAATTCTAAAATGTTAAACATATTAAACAACAAATCCCACATTTATAAAATCATTTACAGTACAATTTTATTCTTAAATATATTGGCAGAAAAAATCCTAAAATATCTGAATGTATGAACAATGGAGCAATTGGAAATTTTGTTTTGCTTATTTGCATTTTTTTTCTGAAAAAAATCAATATTCTCTGTTTCTGTGAAGAAATAGAAAAAAAAAAACCTTAAAATTTACATGGAATCACAAAAGACCCAGACTAGCCAAAGCTATCCTAAGCGAAAAGAACAAAACTGAAGGAATCACATTACTCAACTTCAAATTATACCACAGCCCTATAGTAACCATAACAGCATGGTACTGACATAAAAAGAGACACATAGACCAATGGAATAGAATAGAGAACCCATAAACAAATCCACATACCTACAGTGAACTCATTTTTCACAAAGGTGCCAAGAACATATAAAGGACAGTCTCTTAAATACATGGTGCTGAGAAAACCGGAGACCCATATGCAGAAGAATAAAATTTGACTCCTAACTCTCACCATATACGAAAGTAAAATCAAAATAGTAAAGACTTAAATCTAAGAAACTACTACAAAAAAAAACACTGGGGAAAATCTTCAGGATATTGGTCCAGGCAAAAATTTCTTGAGCAATACCCCACAAACAAAGCCACCAAAGTGAAAAAGAACAAATGGGATCACATTAAGTGAAAAAGGTTCTGCACATCAAAGGAAACTATCCACAAAGTGAACAGACAACCCACAGAATGGGAGAAAATATTTGCAAACTACTCCTCTGACAATGGATCAATAGCCAAAATATAGAAGGAGCTTAAACAACTCTCTAGAAAAAAATCTAATAATACAATCCAAAAATGGCCAAAATATTTGAAAAGCTATTTCTCAAAAGAAGACATATGAATGGCAAACAGTCACATGAAAAGGTGCTTAACATCATTGAGGATCAGAGAAATGCAAATAAAAACTACAATGATATATCGTGTCACCCCAGTTGAAATGGCTTGTATCCAAAAGACAGACGATAACGAATTCTGTCAATTATGTAGAAAACGTACAATTATGTACAATGTACCCTTGTACACTGTTGGTGGGAATGTAAATCAGTGCAACCACTATGGACAATAGTTTGGAGATTCATCAAAAAACTAAAAATTGAGCTACCATATGATTCGGTAATCTCACTGCTGAATATACACACACACACACACACACAAAAGGAAATCAGTATATCAAAGATGTATCTGCACTCATGTTTGTTGCAGCACTGTTTACAATAGCTAAGATTCAGAAGCAACCTAAGTGCTTATCAACAGATGAAAGGATAAAGAAAATTTTGCACATATACACAATAGAGTACTACTCAGCCGTGAAAAAGAATGAGATCCAATCATTTGCAACAACATGGACGGAACTGGAGATCATCATGTTAAGTGAAATAAGCCAGGCACGGAAAGACAAACTTCACATGTGCTCACTTATTTGTAGGATCTAAAAATTAAACAATTGAACTCATGGCCATAGAGAGTAGAAGGATGGTTACCAGAGGCTGGGAGGTGTAGTGGGGGGTTAGTGGAGAGGTGATGGTTAATGGTTCAGCAAAAAAAAAAAAATAATAATATAAAGTATGAATAAGACCCACTGTTTTATAGCACAACAGGGTGACTTTAATTAATAATTACTTAATTGAACATTTTAAAGAAACTGAGAGAATGTAATTGGATTGTTTGTAACTCAAAGGACAAATGCTTGAAGGGATGGATACCCCATTCTCCATGATGTGTTTATTTCACATTGCATGCCTGTATCATAAAATCTCATATACTCTATAAATATATACACCTATTATGTATCCACAAAAATAAAAAAGAGAATGAAGATTGTAAATTGAAAAATAAGAAAATATAAAAGTACTAAAAGCAATTCAATGTGTAACTCCAAATGAATAACTTTGAAACACTGAAGTAAATGGCTTTTTTCTAGCCAAATATAACATACTAAAATGATTTTGTTAAATTGAAAGGGAAAAACAATCCAGACACATGACCATACATGCTATTAGAGAACTAATTGCAGTGGTCCTATTCTTGGGCAATTATGTGTGTGGTGAAGGGAGGCAGGGTGGCCAGAGTCCTGCCTCACCTGCCTTTCTATCAATACTGAGGACAATGGAGGAACCTCTCAGGGTTTATCACAAGATGGTATGTAACCACTTCTGGGGATGATAATGTCACTGAAGGAATTTGAATAATAAGGCATCATGATCAAAATGTATGTTCAATTTCTCCAAAGTGATAAGGGGAACAGAATGTAGGACACAGATAAAAAAGGCTGCCGTGTGCAATGTGAGATCACTGCTGCTGGGAAGACATGAGAAAATCTGAGGCAGGACAATGTAAAAATAGACTTGAATGGAGAGTCAGGGAGAAGTAGGGGAAATAATTTGAAAGTAGAATTGACAGCACTTGATGATTGATTGGAAGATATAATTAAGAGACAGGGAGGTATCTAGAATTAGTTCCAGTTCTAGGTCATGTGCAACTAGGAGACATACAAAATGAGGAGGATAGAAGGAAGAAATAAGGTAAGAAGAATAGAAGAAAGAAATAAGAATAGAAGAAAAAAACAAAGCAGACTTAAAAGGAGGGTGTGAGAAATGAACAAATGGACAAAATCTACTCCTCCAGTGTTCCGCTGATAAAAATTAAAAGATATCTTTCAGAGCCATTATGTAGTATAGTGAGTGAGTACTTGCTGTAGTGAATCAGCTCCCAATACAAGCACACCAACACAAACTGAAGAATCAGGACTATACAAAATATCCCAAAGCAAAATAGTTTCAAAATTCAATTTAGCTGCAAAAAAATGGGAGCTTATGTTCATTGAATTAAGTTTACATAAAGATAGAAAACCAAAAATGATAGTGGCTTAAACAATATAGAAACTCATTTATGTGTTATAAGAGCAGTCTTGTCCCGGTTTGGTAATTACACAATTGCCCAGGATCACAACTTCTTCTATCTTGTTTCATTAATCTCAAAGCTTCCACTTTGTGGCGCAAGCTAGCTATTATACATTAAGTCAATACATCTATCTCCTGGCTACAAAAATAGTGAACAAGAAAGCATTAATCTTCTTTTTAAGTATACTTTTGAAAAGTTGCCTAAACCAATTACCCTTAAATATCACCATATTTTATGGAAATTTGATACTGTTTAACTAAAAGGAAATTTGAGCAATTTAGTTTGTATTTGGGTAGGGGGGCGAGTGTCCACCTAAAATTGGAGAGTGCTATTTATTACTACAGAAGAAATGCAGACTGGATTTAGGTAGACAGCCATAGAGTTAATTAAAAATAAGAAAATTTTGGAATTATAAGATGTGGATAAAGAATGTTATGCTTTATTCATGAGACAGAAACTCCTCAGTAATGTTATCTCTGCATGAAAACATTTAGATCAAGATTTTAAGACTTGGCTAACTTACCTTATTCATATAATGCCTGTTATTGATTTTTCAGCTTTATGACTCTGTTTCATGACACTGCCCCAGAAACACATGCTTTTGGATTTTCTTAGCACATTTTTAGGTTTTATCTATTAATAATAGATACATCAAAGCCTTTTATTGCGTGTTGTGTTGTGCTGGACACTCAAGCAATGGAACTGAATGCCAGGTACACAAGTTCTAAGAGCATGGGCAGAAAATCTTCAAATAAAGAAATGGCAAATAAAGTACAAAGGGACTTTGAAGGCCAAGGGCAAAAAGCCAAGAAATGGAAAAGAATAAACCAAGTGGAAGAGAAAAAAGAAGGATAAAGTTTTTCTGAACGGAAGAAAAACATGAGAAATCACATATTAGAGACATCAGAAAATATAAGAATGATCCCCAAATCCCCACTAATATAAATAAAATGAAATTTTAATTCTACCAAATCCTTACTAATCATAAATGACATTAGTAGTACTGTGTACTATAAAAACATAAGTCTGGAATTATCTCTAAAGATAATGAGGCTGTGTCTAAAAATATTGCAGCTAAATATTCTGCCAATCACTTAAGTCTACTGGTTTATTTTATTGTCTAGATAAATTCAGTAAAACAAGCCACTTAAATTGGGCATATACAAAATCTGAATACTTCAATCGACATCTACCAAGAACCTAGGGACAGTGAAGTGAGGAGGAAAGACACTAATATTAGCTTTTTAGTCTTGGTGTTCAAACATCTTTCTTTCTTGCTTGTAAATATATTTTCATTTTAAGCACATGAAATTAAAAAAACGTATTGCCCAGTGAATCCTGGCCTCCTACAGAATGAAGTAAAAGGATGATGCATGATAATCTACATTTATTTTGGAGACAGCAGTATCAGTTTAATTAGATTTTACTCATGTAAGAATGAGTGACGTAAAACACAAGCCGTATTTCTTGCCAGAGAAACACAATACATATGAATTTCTTCCCTAACATCCAATAGTTGCAATTCAGGAAAAAAAAAAAACACTTACATAGACATAATAATTACAATTTATTCCTTTGAAAAGAAAATTATAAATAAGAATGGAAACAACATTGAATTAAAATGAGAGATTGTCTGCAATAAAATTTCCAAGAAGAGGAAGACATGCAATTCAGACACCCATTTTAGATAGCAGCTATAGAAAGTTTTCAAAAATGAACTTCCATAACTGGAGAATATACATATAAAAGACCTAAATGAAATAAGAAGGTGGCAAGTGGAAAGAGAATGAAGAGTTGGGGTCAACAGATCTTCCCTTTCATATTGTATAGTATACAGTACCTAAATTTAGTATTTCCAAGCTTACCTCACATAACTATCATTCTTTGATACCGATGGGAATTATTTTGACATTTGAGGAGTCTTGTATTTTGTACACTGACACTGTGAGAAATGTTTACAGAACTGCAGATGCTAATATTTTCAACTCTACGAGCTACGCATCTACTAAAGTGAGTATTTTATAAGTACAGTGATAGTCAATAGCCACAAATAAAGATAGGAAGTCGAAATTGCATGTACATGCTAAAAGATGACTAGAAGGCAGAGAAGCAATACATTTTATTCTAGACTGGTGTGCATAATACAATTTGAAAAGACCACATTTTAAAAATTGAATTCAAGATGAGGTGACATAGGAAGTTTATTTTGGGTTCAAATAGGCCAGAAGAGATAAAAATTTTAATAGCTGTAATCTTACTTTAAGTAGCAGGGATTTTTTTTTTAAGGATGAGCTATATTTTCATAGACACATGTAAACCTTTACTTTGTTGAAGGGCCTCAGGCCCTAAAATTAGCCTTACTTTGTGGGTCTTTAAAAATATAATTTTTATTTTATTCTGGCATAAGTGCTAAGAATTAATTAAAACTGAACTTACTCTGGATAAGACATTTTGTAAGTGACAGATAATAAAAACATATTTTTTAACTTTTATATTAGGTTCAGGGGTACATGTGCAGGGCTGCTATATAGGTAAATTGCACGCTTAGTGTGTATAAATTATTTCGTCACCCAGGTAGTAAGCATAGTACTCAATAGGTAGTTTCTCAATCCTCACCCTCCTCCCACTCCAATCCTCAAGTAGGTCCCAGTGCCTGTTGTTCCTTTCTTCATGTGCATATGAAAACTTAGCAGCACATCAACATGGCACATGTGTCCATATGTAACAAACCTGCACGTTGTGTACATGCACCCTAAAATTTAAAGTATAATTTAAAAAAAAGAAAACTTACATTTTTTTAGATAATAAAGAATCACTGCTCAGCAGCCTAAACAAGTCATAAATGAATTGTTCTCATATTTTAATTACTAAAAATATAGTTTATGAATGTATTCCTATGTCACACAATTATTGCCTGATTATAATAATTTTATTTTTAATAATAATTACTTTAGAACCTTGACGTTCATGGAAAAATTTCACTCAAGTATCCATTTATGTGTGTCAATTGTGAGCAGGAATGGCCTTGGAGCTAAAAGTGTCGTCTGTAAAAATCATAAATGAGGAACAATTGAATCATTTCAAAACAACCCAGTTTTGCCCTTTATTTAATCTTATTTGTGTTCTAACCTTAAGGAACCATATTATCTCGGCAATGATTTTAATGATATAACTTTACTTAATCAATTGATCTATGTCGCTATATCATCTAAACTACAGTTTATTTATCCCTTTATAATTCATGACATATGTAAACAGTTCCGTGTGTGACCACTTGTTTGTGCATTTTACATGAAACATAATATTTCAATATCAAGCTGTGCCAAATTCTACAAATTCCAAAGAAAGAATATTCTAAATTGTGTTTTCCTTAAAAGTTTGTGCTAAAAATTATTTCACATTTATTTGCACATTTTATATAAACGATGCATGTGAATTAAATTGTAGAAATTTATTTCTGTGTGAATTAAGTGATAAAATATCGTGTAGAATTAGAAAAATATTTACTGCAACCAAGCATGAGATTTTGCCTACCTAGGAGAATAAGGAGTCTCCAAATTCATGAAAATGCTATGCCCCTGGAATCAGACTGCCTGGATTTGATTCTTGGCCTCTCTACTTACCCTTGTGACTTTAGGTAAGTTACTTACCTTCTTGGTGCCTGCTCTTTATAGATAGTAACAGTAATGACCTCATGTATTTCTGTTGTGCAGTCTAAATCAGATGACACCTAGCAGAATGCTTGGCACATACTAAAGGCTCAGTAAATTTTAGCTTTGCTGATGCTAATTCTCTGTCCAGGGGTCCAGCTATTGAGAAGGGGTCCACTAGATGGTCAGCAAACCTAATCAATTTCTCAGACTCTACATCTTAGCATAGTTTGGGGTGTTTTTTTTTTTGCAATTACTATGCAATCTCATTCAATCAACACAGGCATTTACTTTCTCCTTTCTATAAATAAGGCAAATAAGCAAATTATGTATTAGAGACAGAGGTAGCTAGAGCCATAGGAAAGAAAAAGGGATCCAGACAGGAGAGAGACAGACAGAGTGAAGTGGAGATAAACAGCAATAAATGACAGATTATAAGATGGTTGGAGGATTGATAGATGGATAGATAGATGGATGATAGAGAGATGACAGACAGATAGATTATATAATTTGTGTTAAGATTCTATTTAAAATGTGACTGTGAATTTCCTGGGTAAAAAGGATTAGAAAATAAAGAACATGTTAACTTAATGAAAATAATGTTGATACATTTAAAATTTACACCGAAACATAAATGATTAATATGAAAACTTGTCTCACATACACAGGAGAACAGAACATACAGTTGAGAAGGCTATTTCTGCTTCTAATTTGCACAGCAGTACAATATGATATTAGTTGACTAATTATATTCCCTTTTCACTTAGACATTTAAATAGCCATGATTCAATAAACTATTATTTCAACTATGGAAAATGAAATTCATTGTGGGAGATCTCTCTCCTCCTCCCTTACTCTTTTACTCCCTCCCTTCCTCTTGTACTCCCTCCCTTCCTTTATTTATTAGTTACTTCTATGCACAACTTAGCAGTAGCTTAACAGCAAAACAGTTTAAACTAATATTTACCCAGGAACGTGATACTGGCTTCAATATTCCCAGCGCATTAGACTTTTTGAAAAGATAATAAAAAGTATCATTTTTAATTTAAAAAAATGAAGATAAAATTTCCATAGGAATAAAAATATTAAAACGCAATATGAAATGTAGCTTTGAATTAATTAGAATAATTATGTGCATAAGGTAAAAACAGAAATTTTACTCCTTCAGGATCTGAAAGATGGCAAATGTTTTACAATATTTTGAGAAGTATTTGCTTTCCTAATAGCCCCATTTACTCTCTTTATAATTTCCTTATAAATTGGAGATAGTCTGAATGATAAAACAAAATGCGTTACTTAGAAGTCCATTCCTAGATAAACTATGTTCACCCTTACTTAATAACTCTTACTGTGTTTTATACTTTCTCCATGTACCTTTCAATTTTCCCTCATCATCGGGTTGTCAGGTCATAAAAGAAATTGACCATACCTTATTCATGACTGTGACTTTCAAGCCTAGCCTTCTGTCTCCTACATAGTTGATGATCTACATATTTAAATAAATGTATGAAGAGGATGATGATTAAAGTATATGAGGAAACTTCATCTGTCTTTGATCATAAAGATACCAACAATTATAGGACTTGGTTGAGAAAGATCCAGAAGTCAGGATGATTTCACTGCCAAGAGAAAATATTTAAGTCAGAACTAATTTCTACAAATAATTTTATGAAATGGTCAGATAAGTTTCAAGTAATGGAAATGAGTGACATCTGTGAAACTTGGACCTATACTTTCAGCGCATATGAAAATGCCAGTCCAAGGGAGCACACTCTACTAAGACACCTGCCAGACCAGGAAAAGCAACTCTCTTGCCATTCATTCATATATTTATGTGGTAAACTTGTACTGAGTGCTAACTAGAGTGTCAAATGCATGTAGTGTCAAAAATTCTTCCAAAACGAGTTTTATAATCAACAAAATAAAGCAGGAAATGAATATCTGCCAAAAAAAAGAGAATGTAAGGCATTAAATATGTGCACAGGATGCAAAAGACACAATGGAAAGAATCATCATTTTTACCAGGGTTTGAGTAAAGGAATTGGACAATGTAGTCTTTAAATTACTGGGGCAGCCTTCAGAGTACAAACACCTAACACAATGGAAAGAATTATCATTTGTACCTGGGTTTGAGTAAAAAAAATTGGACAACGTTGTCTTTAAATTACTGGGGCAACCTTCAGAGTACAAACTCCTGGATATTCTGAATGAATGAAGCATCCACTCCATCAGAACAATTACATTTCAGGTAAAAATGACCAAAGTGAAAGTGACTTTTGTCCATCAAGAAGACAAAGTATCTTCGGAATCTGAAGTCATGAAAAGGAACCTGGCATCAAAATCCTGGACCTGCAAACCAAATTGTGAGCATTGTTTTGTTCTTCCTGGGCCTCTGAACATATTTTCAATTTCCTAAACAAATCAATCCTAACAAGACCACCTGCTATAAAATGTTGGAGCCAGAACTGAGATATACAGTGATGAACTTTCCAGAATAGTTTATTTTGCTGAATATCCATCAGTGGCATGCTAGAGCCACTTGCTTGTTAAAATTTCAGGAATTTTGTAAGCACTTGCTAAGTTAAATAAATAAACAAAACTCTGCTGGGCGTGATGGCTCAAGCCTGGAATCCCAGCACTTTGAGAGGCTGAGGCCAGAGGATCATGAGGTCAGGAGATCAAGACCATCTTGGCCAAGATGATGAAACCACGTCTCTACTAAAAGTACAAAAATTAGCTGGGTGTGGTGGCGTGTACCTGTAATCCCAGCTACTACCCGGGAGGCTGAGGCACAAGAATCGCTTGAACCCAGGAGGCGGAGGTTGCAGTGAGCAGAGATCGCGACACTGTACTCCAGCCTGGAGACAGAGTGAGACTCTGTCTCAAAATAAATAAATACATAAAATAAAAATAAGTAAGTAAATTAATAAACAAACAAAACTCAAAACTCCTCAGGTTCTCGTTATTTTAGTACATTTTGTTATCAACTGTGCCCTTGAGCTTATTTCTGCTATTGTATTTGTTTGTTGGAAAAACTACATGATGGTGTGCTACTACACATTGTTAGTGTGATCACATTGTTAGTTTGAAATCAGCCATTGGAGGAATACTAGCACCATGGAAATTGTCAAATGCTACAAATCAAGGCTTGATTTGTTGTTCATTTGATTGGCTGGGCTTTAAAAAATGTTGGATAAAATCTTTATAATGCAGATTAAACTTAAAAGTGCATATGCCTCTAGCCATTACATTAAGAATACCAAAAAAGTCCAAGAAAATTCCCTTCCAATGGTCTCTAAAATTATTAACCAATTCAGCAAAGAAGTTACTCACATTGAAGATCTAATAAAGTTCCAACATATAGTTTTATTGTTTCACTTTTGTCTTAGCAATGTAAATGAAATATTAAACAATATTTATATAAAAATTGCGCTCATTTGTCAGCTATAACCATAGTTTTGTTATAGATACAAGAGTCAGCAAAAATCAATAAAAATATTCTGAAAAAAAGTCAATTGGTTATAGGAAATGTATAACAGAATATTATAAATTTATTTTTTATAAATTGTGAGCTACATGTCCTTATATCAGTAAAAACTATAAATATATATACAAACATATATATATTCTGTCTATATAATTTATATTCTGCTATACACTTATTATCAAAATTGATAAAATAATAAATTTAAGCCTACAAACGTTAATATGTATGTTTTGTATACTTAGTTAAACTGATGAAATTGTTTACAATAAAGTTAGTTATATAAACCTTACACAAGTTGCTAGTTCCAATCTTGATCTTGTCTTCTTTATATAAATTCACTCTGTACTTCTTTTATTTGCATTTATGACAATCGTTATTAGTTAGTATAATTTTTGGTTTAACGTGTGTCTTCCTATACCAAACATATAATCTATTTGGGGATAGGTCTGTGTCTATCTTCTTCCCTTCCAAAAACTCTGTGTCTATCACAATACCTGAAATTAATGGCGGTATTTGTACCAGGGTTCATTAGAAATGTCTATTAAATATTTGCATGATGAACAAACAAGTCGATTGACAGAAGAATGACTCTTTCTTAATGATTTTATTTTATTGTTATTTGAGCCATGGACACCGATAAAAGCATTAGAAAAACAGTTTGGATTTGTCAATAATATGTTATAGAACAATAAATAAGTCGAATTTTCAGTGATAGCTCCTTCACAGAATTTAAACACTCAGACTCTATGGAAAAGTTTGGTCCCTCTTTTCTCTTTCCACCCCGTCATAAAATCCCACCTGAACTGGGTGAATGTTAGAAAGAGAAAAGATAACAGAGGAAAGAAAAAAAGAGAGATTCATTTGGAACATAGAAAACTTGAAATATTAAGAAATTATCTTTATAAGTAACCAGTGGTTAAAAAAATAAAGTGTTTTTCTCCATTCTTCTCCTCTGTCTGAACTTTCTTTTCTGCATATATAAAATAATAGTTTTCATTATGAGAAAAAAGAGAGAAATATAGTTCTTTCAAGTTTTTGAACAATTAAAATGTTGCTTAGAGCTGTCTCCCTGAGGACTTTATGTCATGGGTTTGAGGAAGTTCTGGCTTAGACAAAAGCTCAGAAACCCAATGTGATCATTATTTTTTTCTTTCTCAAAGAATTCAGTCAATTAATGATGAATAGTACAAAACTTAACAATTCCCTTTTTAAATGAGGGAAAAAAATTCTGAATGACTGATGTTCTTACACATTGTGAGACATTTAAGAAATGTTATATACACTGTCTCAAATTTATTTAATCTGGAAAAAAATAAAATATATAAGGAATAGGTTGTAAAATACTGAAATGATCATATATTTATTAGTAGGTGAACTCAGTAGGCCGACATAATTTGGTTTTTGATTTTTCAAAAGCTTTCTAATTAAATTCACAGTGCATTAATTTTATACTTTGATTGCCTTTGATTTTTTTTAAAATAACAACAGTATATAGAAATCTTTAAATAGATGAATAAAAACCAATTATGTCAAATTAAAGTAATATGCTTTTGATGTCAGATTTTGAAAGGGACCGCTGGGCATTTTATCATGAGACATTTTAATACTAGTATAAATTGTTCATCATTTGAAAAATAAAAGGGATTACATGGCTTTTTAAAGTAATATTTTAAAATAAAACTGCCAACTACAGTTACACACATCATCAGGGGAAAGCAGCCATGTCATGAACATGTCTACGAGAAATCAAGGTCATAAAGTCCTTACGGACTTCAAAGTTTAAGTCATTTGATTTTCCAAATTCATATCTACTTATTAGTCCTAGGACTGTTCTTTACCAGACTTAACACTGTAGGACCACAATCTAGTTTCTGAATTGATGGAGCTGAAAATAGTAAGTGAATTCACAACCACCTGTTTGATAGCAATCAGCAGGGAAGGTTTCTGAAAAGGAAAATGACTCCTACAAACATATTTAGCTGTAATAAGGAAGATAAAGGGAGAGTTTGTCAGTAAGCCGTTCTGGGAGGAAAATAGGGTTTCCTTTTGTGCTGGCTCCACCCAACTATGTCGGCCTGATTTCACCTACTGCTCCATTAAAAATATACAACCAAAACTGAAATAAGTTACTTAATCTTTGTAATTACATGTCTGTAAATTCTAAAAGATTCTCTTCTTTCTGAAAGTCTCCCATTAAAATGTAAACTCCCCTTGGAATGGCCACTGTCTCAACATTCTTGCCCTCAAAGCCAAATGTGGCCCTCCAATCTTCCTAAATATAGATAGTGTTCCAAAGATCCACAACTAAATGATAGCTGTTGCCACTGACTTATGATCTCTAGCCTAAGATATCTTCAGTTAGCAAATTAGCATTGACAATCAACATTTTAACACAGAGAAGTGAGATTTGATATATTGTAGACAAAGGAAGCTGATTTTCTACTTCATAAATCTGCAAAAGAAAGTATGTTGCTAGGATTAAAATATGTATACAATATGGGGCAATGTTCAAGATAAAGAGATATAGATGAAAAGATTTGTGATCCATGCATAAAATTATCTTGGTACATTATTATGTCCCAATTCATAATAAAGAAGTTCTTTTAGCTTTCTCAACTGCAAAACTTTGGAGTTGTAGCTACACATTTTGGGTTTTGTTGTTGTTTTTATTATGTGTTTTAGAGAAAAGTTCTCACTTTGTTCCCCAGGCTAGAGTGCACTGGTGCATTCATAGCTCACTGCAACCTCCAACTCCTAGGCTTAAGTGATCCTCCCACCTCAGCCTCATGAGTGACTGGGACTATGGCACATGCCATCACGCCCAGCTAATATTTATTTTTATTCTTTCTTTTGTAGAGATGGGGTCTTGCTATGTTGCCCAGGCTGGTCTCAAACTTTTGGCCTCAATCCATCCTTCTGCCTTTGCCTCCCGAAGTTCTGTTATACAGATTTGAGCCACCATGTCTGGCCTCTCCACATTTTGAAACAGCTAGGATCACTGAGGTTATAAGCAATTCAAGGCCTTTGTGAAATAAAAAGATGTTTATACTGAGCAAGCAATGGTCTGTGATTGAACTGGCCAGACCACTCAATTCATCTCATTAAGAAGCACACATTGGGATTTAGTTAGGAATTATAATTGAAAAGCGAAGATGGTGTGTTCTTCCCTTAAGCTAATAGTGTTACCTGCAATATGATCTTTTCATGGTTCTCAACATTTTATGGGGAATGGGTTACATTTTTTAAATGAATCAATAGTCTGGTTCTTGGGTTTGCTGAATTAGGCTAACACACACATGCACGCACACACACACACACACACAAAAGCAAGATAAGCAAGTGTTGTTCAATGAGCTGAGATAAATAGAGCAGTTGATAGTTTCACCGTTTTGTCGTGATACATAGGTGTTTAAGGATAGATGTTGGTTCTATGAAAAGCTGACTTAGCCAAAATGAAAAGTAGCATTATTGAAAAATATAAGCAAACATGGTCAACAGCCCACTGTAGCTGTTTTCACATATTTTTTGACTACTTAGTTAAGTTAAATTCATGAGCCATAAAGCACAGAGCAAACAAAAATCCAATTTTTGCTCCTATGTTGAATTAAAGTATTACTAATCATGCTTTAAAAGCCATGGCTTTTGCAGACACACTGTAAGTTTTGTCAGAGGGAAGACTAAATAACTCATAACTATTTTTTTTGACAAGTAGCTGATGGATTACAACTGATGGATGCAATATTTTTGTTCTTTAAAAATTCTTCAAATTAATAAAAAGGAGCCTGGTCAATACTGCTATTCTGATTAAATGTCAAACAAAAATGTTCATAAAAGTGAACTTATTTATATGATTTTCCTTCTTATCTATTTTGTTTTTTAAGACTATGGCAATGCATAGATAGAAAATGGGGAAATGCTAATTTTAGATTAATGTTAGCTTGCTAATATTTTTCTCTCCAACTTTATATGTAAGTAATTGTCCTTTAAATAAACTACAAATATACACTAAAAGGCACTTTAACATGTTATAGTGAGTTACTATAGAGTATTTGTTTTCCTAATTCTTCTATACATATCCATACACTGTGTCAATAATGAAAACAAATTAATAAGCACTTACATAATTGTTTATCATAAAGTATTAGAACTCTATTTTCTTAATTTAAACTTTCTCAGATAGCTATATTTTAACTTAAAAAGCTATCAATAGAGTACTTTCAATGATTATGTATTTAGAAAATTGTTGAGAGATTTTCCTAAGTGTATTTAACACCTACTGTAAAATTTTGAAAAACCATTTAAAAAAATTTGGTTTGGGGGCTGTAAATGGAAATTGAAGCAATTTTATAAAAATAACACAAAAAAGCTATGAGACAGTTTCTCATAAAGTTCAACATACACTTAACAAGTAATCAAGCAATCCGACTTCTGCATATTTTCCCCAGAAAAATGAAAGCTTACGTTCATGCATAAATATGTGAATGAATGCTCAAAGCAGCTCTATTAATAGACATTCAAAACTAGAACAATCCAAACATCTTGCAATGGGCAAACGGGAGTATACACACTGTGGTGTATTCCATTGAAGTTCCTCTCTGAAGCTCTTAATAGGAACCCTATTCTACTCTTTACTTATCCAGATAAAATTCCAAGAAAACTACTCAGCAACAAAAAAGAATGAACTAGGAATACACACAACAATTTCAGTAAATCTCAAAGTCATTATGCTGAGTAAAAGAAACCAGTTTCAAAAGGTCACAAACTGTATAATTTCATTTTTTGACATACCCCAAAATACATGAAGTACACTTTCACCATAAAGACCTTTTGATTTTCCTATTGAACCTCCACTTTTCTTCTATTAAAATATTCAACTTTTGTTAATTTGAGAAAGGAAGTCCTGAAAAACCTCACAACTTACCCAACAGATGGGAGAAGGGAATGCATGGTTGTGGGAGACATTTTATATTGTGAAGTTATATGTTTCTTTAATTCAGGAGTAATTATAGCAACTGTACCTATAATGGGAGATCAGTGAGGAGTGATCACCTATAAAAATTAGATTTGCCTTCAGCCATTTTAATTAAAGTATAAATATTTTGAGGAAGGACCAAGTTAATAATTTTAAGGCAGGGGAAATAATGAGTGGAAATGCGTGTGTATGTGTCTTCTTCATTTCTGTTCTCTTTCATGGACCATAAAACCAAAAAACCCAGCGACATAGAGAAAAAACACATTTGAAAAAGATACAGTTACTAACGTTTATTTTTAAATGCATTATTTAAAGACATAATATGTTTTTTCTTACCTAAATGCATGAGTTCCAACTATTACAACATAAGACACTTTTTGGAAAATGAACTAAAATTCCCATTACTACCAAAGATTGGACATTCTAGAGAACAGATCACTGGTTGTCAGAGATTATCGGTAGGGGAGGAAATGGCTACAAAGGATACCATGAGAGAGCTTTTTGCACTGATAGAACTATTCTGTGTGCTAATTGTAGTGGTGGTTACACCAACCCAAACATGTTAAAATTCATAAATCTTTACACCACACAATAAAAATGTCAATTTTACTAAATGATAATTTTAAAAATAATAATCAAACACAAATACTTATCAATGACCCCAGCATCTAGGCTGTGGTTTCAATGAAATTATTAACCTTTAGATAAGCATTTTTAAAAAGCTATGTCAGAATTAGAGAGACGGAAAGAAATCATTATAAACCACATATCTTAGCATCAGCTGTGTGTCAATCTGGTATTAAGAACAGGATAGAAAAGGCCGGGCCCGGAGGCTCAAGCCTGTAATCCCAGCACTTTAGGAGACCAAGGTGGGCGGATCAATAGGTCAGGAAATCAAGACCATCCTGGCTAACACGGTGAAACCCTATCTCTACTAAAAATACAAAAAAATTAGCCGGGCGTGACTAAAAATACAAAAAAATTATCTGGGCATGGTGGCGGGCGCCTGTAGTCCCAGCTACTCGGAAGGCTGAGGCAGGAAAATGGCGTGAACCCGGAAGGCGGAGCTTACAGTGAGCAGAGATCGCGCCACTGCACTCCAGCCCGGGCGACAGAGCGAGACTCCGTCTCGGAAAAACAAAACAAAACAAAAAAAAGAACAGGATAGAAAAATAGGCAATTGTTACTGTTCTATCGACAAAAAGAGTCAAACTCTAAAAAATATTTGAGGAGATTTATTCTCAGCCAAATATGAGTGTCCAGTGACCCATGACACAGCCTTCAGGATACCCTGAGAACATGTGTCCAAGGTGGTTGGAGTATAGCCTAGTTCTATATGTTTAAGGGAGCCATGAGACAATAATCAAATACATGTAAGATATACATTGGTTCTGTTTGGAAAAGCAGGACAACTTGAAGTGGGGGCTTCCAGGTTATAGGTAAACTTAAATTTTTTCTGATTGGCAATTGGTTGAAAGAGTTCATTTATTATCTAAAGACCTGGAATCAATAGAAAGAAATGTCCGTGTTACAATGATAAGGGGTTGTGGCGAGCAAAGTTTTATCATGCAGGTGAAGCGTCCAGGCAACAGGCTTCAGAGAGGATAGATTATAAATGTTTCTTATCAGACTTAAGGTCTGTGTTGATGTTAAATACTAGTTGGCTTTTCCTGAATTCCCAAAGGGAGGAGAGTATAATGAGCAATGTCCAACCTTTCTTTCCTGACATGGCCTGAACTCATTTTGGAATGTCCTCAGCCAAGAAGAGAGGTCCATTCAGATGGCTGGTTTGGGGACACATTAGAATTTTAGTTTTGGTTTAAAGTTATCTTAAGAGCTGTCACTCTCTGTTTTATTTCAGCTCAACAAATAATGTATTGTGCTCCTATTTCATACTTTAGCCCTGAGTGGCACTAGAGATACAGAAAAAAAAAGAGAGAGAGAGAGAGAAAGAAAGAAAGAGAAAGAGAAAGAAAGAAAGAAAGAAAGAAAGAAAGAAAGAAAGAAAGAAAGAAAGAAAGAAAGAATAGATTTTCACTGAAATGCATTCAGTTCAGTGGAGATTTAAATAAAGAAGTGGATTCAATTGTGTTACCAGGACAACACATAGTTCAGCAAATTCAAAAGCTAGAACTTGTCTACAAAGATTTGGTATTCTTTGAGTAAATTCACTTCTATGAGGCATACAAGGACTTGTGTAGCATTATCACCCTTCTCCTTGCAAGATAGTTCTTTATTTGGCTCCTCTGCCCTGTAAGATTTTGTGCAACTTGGAAGCCAGAGAACATACATAAGATTTTTATGCTTGACCTTATTCTGTGCATTTCATATAGTACGTGTTCAATAAGTAATTACGGAATTTAAATTGAGCCTGTAAGAGGGCTTTATTTTAAGAATTTTTTCTTCTGTTGAAAGCAATCATTATGCTTTTTACATCTTTCACCCTCCTTTTCTACATTTTATGGAGCTATGTATGTATTTAGTTTATAAGAGATGTCACAAAATAAAAACAGTGTTTACCTCTTGATAATCGTGGGAAAATGTCTTTGGTGAATTTCACAGCTTATCACAATTGCTTTGGAAATGTTTATGTAATTATAGCTAGATAAGTAGAGTAGGCAAGGGTTCCTATTAGTTTCAGAGAGAAACTTCAAGTCTTTTGTGAGTTTGTTTTTATCACATCAAATTCATTCTTATCCTTAGCCTTCTCTGTTTTGTGGCAGAGATCATGGTTTAACTTATCAGTTCCTCATCTTTCTTCATCTTATGCTTCAACTTCAGTGTCCCTGGTAGAAAATTTAAGTCATTCTCCAATTCACATAGAAGGGCTTTTTACTGAGAGATTATACTATAATCAAGTATCCTTTTATGTTCATAATCAAATCTTAAACAATCTATATGGGTTGACAGAGTGTCTTCCTCCAAGAGCACATTTCTTTTCCGTGTGAGTGGTATCTTTTTAAAGCACTTTCTTCTGTCATGTAGCTGTAGCTATAGCTATAGCCCTCTTGCTTTCTTCACTAAGTCTGCAAAAAAAAAAAAAAAAAAAAAAAAAGAAAATGAACGAGAAGGCAGCAGGAGCTTAACATTCTTTATCTCTTGGATAGAGAAGTAGGGCTTCCAGCTATGCTGAATGCACTTTCAGAGCAGGCCAGAAAAGAAAAGCTAATGGAGAACAAAATCTTTCATAATTTCACAGTTGCTAACCGTGTCCTGTTTTATATTAAGGTCAATGATAGTGGCTTTTATGCAATTATCTTTGTCTCAGCTGAGAAAGTAATTTGGCCACAAATTTCTATTTAATTTTCTGTGGAAACGAAGAAATGTGCATTAATGTGATTTTTAACAGAAACAGGTCTCCAGAGTTAGTGAATCACTTTTAAAATAAGGGCATACTTGTTTTCTCACCAAACTACCTACCTAAGGATTTAAGAAAGCATCCTTTAAGCTAGAGAAGCTTGGCTTCCTGTGGTTCCTTCAATCCATGTCCCTCATTTGGCCATTAACAGGAAAGAATCCACCAGCTGACCTCCGATGTCCCTGGCACTAACGCCTCAGTTGAGTGTAAATGAAAGGTTACTACTTATCCCTGAGTAAAAGAGGATTGATGAATTGCACAAAAGGAAGATGGATGGGGTAACAGTCCAGACAGGCAGTGCTTATAAATGGATTTGAACTACAGTGGCTGAAAAATATTTTTCTGTCTTTCACTCTACCTTGCTTTAAAGTTTTAATTCATCAGTCTTTATCTCTTGCAAACTAGAAGTGGATGTGCCACACCATAGCCACTAATTTGATAGAAATGACTTTTCAGATCCCGAAAGGTTTGGAAACAAATGTCATCCAGCCCCTGCTCCCTCCCTATTGTCTCCCAGGGTCTCAGGGACCTTTGCCATGATAGCATTGACTAATGCATCACAGTCATTTTCTGTGGATGAAATATGCTTTCTTTGCCACTCACTGCTGGAGCTGTTTGCTCTGGCTGTGCTTTATATAGAGAGTGCTTTCAATTTTTCAATCATAAAATCTTGCTATTTGAGCTGTTTGCAAACAAAGCCTCTGCATTCAGGGCTCTTTCTCTCAGCTACAGGTACTAACTGACATACTTCGTAAGTTCACAATGGGCAAAGAGTTATAAATAAAGATTTTTCTTTTTCATTTTTTTCATGTTTCAAAGCAAGGAGGAAGTGATAAATATTCATTATTGGTTACCTCATCATTGTTTGAGAGTCATTTCATAAAGCTTTATCCTATTTCTAATTGTTTTACTATGTTTTTTTCTTTATTCTGATGCTTTGAGGTCTTGGGGGATTGCTTACCCTGGAGGGACTACCCTTCCTAGGGTTAGCCAATTCCTAGAGAGAGATAACTCATTGGTAGTGCACCTTTTATATGCAATTCAAGTAATCCAGAGTACATATCCTCAACAAGCTCCTTTAAAAACTCATACTCCAGGATACTATCCACTGACTCTAATCATCCCAGGACCAAGTACCTAACAAAAGGGACAGCTTCTATGCCCCAGACCCCATTGAAGTTATTCAAACTAGCCAATCCTAAACTGCCTTGCTCATCCCTTCCTGAGAAAATCAAAATAAAGTTACTTGCCCACATGTTCTCTTGCTCCTTCTGCCTCCCAACGGATCCTGGTACCTTCCCTTTTCCTGCCCCCCATCCTGTGTGATGTGGTGTTGCCTCCTGTCTCTAGGAAACTATGAGTATAATAGACTTCTTTCTTCATAACAGTAATATTCCTGTCTGCATGTCTTACTATAGCTGATTGAAACAAATCCTGGTTACTTTTACAAAACTATACTTTTTTTTTTCTTATAAGTGCCCTCAAGTAATTGTCAATCAAAACTGTTTTCTTAGTTTCATCATCATTAATTCAACCATTCATATAAACAATTTAACTTATCAAGACCCCTACCTTAGATTCTTCAGCTTTGGTAAAAAAATTCACCATATCCGTAACTGTATCTCTGTTTCAAATGTACCTCTGCTCCTTTGTTAACTTTTGTTACTAAACACTGATGCTTCATTTCATTCTCTATAAAATGCAGTCACTCATTCTATCACTCAATACAAATGAATTGAAATGCATATCATGTGTGAGGGAATGAGTTACAGATAAAAAGGTGAACATGATATATCTGTGCCTTGGAAATAATCTGGAAAGCTGAAGTGGGAGAACTCACTTCTGAGTAATCATTGAGGTTTTACGGAAAAGAGAATTTAAGTGACTATACATCTGGTGGAGGAAAGCAATAATTATTCAAGACAGAAAGACATCAGCTACAAAAACATCAAAACTTGAAACATCATAAGACTTACTTGGAATAATAAAGATTCCAAAGTGTTTGAAATAGCTGTAGTTGGGTTCTAAAAAGGTAGGTCATGATCAAATAATAAAAATTCATAAATGACAAGGTAAGGAATTTACACTTTACCTTGTGGTAGTAAGTGGTCAAAACATGAGAGTAACATAACTAGATTAATGTTTTAGAATGATAATGTTGTTAGCAACTTGGAGGATTGACTGGAAAAAAAATAGACCAAATATAGTGATAATGGTTGGTAGGCTATCACCACTTTCCGATTGGGAGATGATGAATATTCAGCTGAGTCAAGAACAGGAAGAGAAAGAAAATGGTTTCAAATGAGAATCAGAAGAATGTAACCAAAGAATAACAAGGATGATTTAGTATGGGAAGTATACAGAAGAGGAAGTCTTGAAGGTTTCCAATGGCTCTTACATGGATAACTAGTGAAAATATTAATGAGATTAAAAATAAGAAAATGTTGATGCACAACTCTACAAATTTTATATTTTTGTTCTGAACAAGTTATATTAACTAAAAGATAAAAGAAATTCAAATATGTTGAAATATGTGATAAAGGCCAAAAAGTTGTTGGAAACTAATATGAAAAGGATTTTTTAGAAAGTAAAAGATATGTATTGCATTTTCAATTTCATACAAAAATTATTATTATTGCTCTTCAAAATTTTTTGTAACAAATGATAAAACACAAAGTCATTAATCACTTTTAAATGCTTTGAACCCCATTTCTGAAGCCAAACTTTTAGATTACTCTGGTTTACCTTTTTAGCTGCTCAAGTTTCAATAATAAAAATTATTGACTTATAGTCGATATTGTTTCACTAACACTTCCCACTACTCAGCTACACTTTTTGAAAGTAAGATTTAAAGGCAGGTTTGATTATACCATATAAACAATTAAAATAGTTTGAGTCTCTAAATGGTAATATAAAGAATTTGAAACCATTAATATTAATATATCTGAGCAATTATTTAATGTCAAATTTTGGAGTAAATTGCATATATTTTTATGTGAATAGATGTCACATGTCATATCTCCAAAATAAAATGAACAAAGTTCATTGCTTAAAACTAGTTAGGTGTAATGTTTAAACTGAAAAAGATCTGAAAACATCTAAACTATAACCTCAGTATCATAGGTGATATTATAACTATTTTAGTACAGCATTAAATACTGGAAACAGACAATTTGTTTTAATATCATTATATGGGCTTATAGACAACTATCATCACTTGCTTATAGTGGAGGCAGAGCACATTTTTACAAAGAATGATCTTATGAAATTATAAATTATTCAGGACACAAAATTCCAATAAGGAAAAATGACCTACAATGTGAATGCCATTATCCGTTTGGCAGGGGCCATTCGATCAATGACAGAGAACAATTATACACACAGCATACCTCAGAGCTCTGCAAGCCTGGAAACAATGGCAAATGTATTTCAATAATATAATAATATCAATAAATGTATGTTACATAATTATATGTAATATGTATTATACATTTATACATACACATTTACTATGTATAAACTTCATTAGTTTATATTATATAAAATATATAAAAATATTTAAAATATATCTATCTATAATCTATCTATCTAGCTGCTAGCTAACTACAATTCTTGATATAATACCAAGAAAAATATATAGCATTGCATGGAAGATATAAAATTTGGGACCAAGGTTAACTACTAACATCCTTTGCAAAGGAAAATGTACATATAGTTTTAATTAACAAGTAAATAAACAGTAATTGCAAATATATCAGTTAAGGTCTGTACCATACGTAGATATTGGGGAATTTTTTGTTTTTTCTTTAATTTATTGATGATTTGTTTCATTATATATTTGTTTATATGACTTCAACTTAATAGGGTACAGGTGGTAAAGAAAAAGATTATCAGTAAATAAAAGACAGAATTTATATCAATCTTTTACATTATATACATATAACTGCTGAAATTTTAAAGGAACAAAATTATTGTTTAAAAACTATACTTTTAAAGAAGGCTCTAATATGGCATTTCTGGTTAAGACTTCCTCTCTTTTATAAATTTATAAGATAGCAAATAAAATAATTGCAAATTATTATGTATAGGATGATCTCAATATTAAACATATATGGATGTGCATATATGTGCTCAAACATTATAAAAAGTTATTTTAAAATAATAATCTCCCTAAATATAATAACTATAGAATATTTAAGAGATTATAAAGACTATGACCCACACCAAACCAATGTTAATTAAGAGTAAAGAATGATTTGGTTGGGCGCGGTGGCTCACGCCTGTTATTCCAGCACTTTGGGAGGCCAAGACAGGCAGATCACGAGGTCAGGAGTTTGAGACCAGCCTGACCAACATGGTGAAACCCTGTCTCTACTAAAAGCACAAAAATTAGCCGGGCATGGTGGTGCACACCTGTAATCCCAGCTACTCAGTAGGCTGAGGCAGGAGAATTGCTTGAACCCAGTAGGCAGAGGTTGCAGTGAGCTGAGATCACGCCACTGCACTCCAGCCTGGGCTACAAAGCGAGACTCCATCTCAAAAATTAAAAGAAAAAAAGAGTGATTTGGTATCCTTTAAGATTTTTGTAGTTTTTGTTTGTTTTTTGAAAACATCCCCTTGAGTGAGTAGACTTACTGAGTAATTAGAGTTATTTCTATGTAGTTATATTAATAATTTGATGTAGACTAATTTATTTCTGCTTATATTTGTTTAGTTTGTTATTTCTTTATAATTATTGTCATTTATTTTATTTTGTAAATCATTAAAATTTTTGTAATGTTAGAACTATGTAAAACTATGTAAGAATTTATACTCATAGAAATCTCATTTATCCCCTATCTCTTTTCCCCATCCCCACTGTCCTTTCAAGTAACTAATTTTGTTAGTTTTTGGTTTATACTTCTTATGTTTTAAATACTGCTTTTTGAAAATATAAACAGGTAATGATAAATGTTTTATTTCCTCTTTTCTACATAAATGTTAATATGCTTTACATAATCTTTTGCATCTATCTTTTTTTACATAGCAATATACCCAAGGATCATCAAAATTCTAGAGTTTCTCCCTCCCTCATTCTTTTTATTTAACAGTGGCATAGTACTTCATTAGTTGGATGTAGCATGGTTTACTAAAGCAACTTTCCATATATGGACAGAAATATTTAGTAAAAAAATTAAGTTATTGAACTCCAAATATCTTTAAATTTTAATTTAGAAAAATAACTTTATGGTTTATTTCAGAAAGATAAAAAACTACTTCTAGTTAATTATTTTCAATGCATACTTTATACTCTGTTTAATTAAAACATATATAAGATGTTATGGTGTTTTATTTTGTTTACATACTCCATTTTATGTTTTTGAATAAAATTATTTTTCATGAATGTATAATAATTTTTCAATATTTCCTATTAAACATTTTACCTAAATGCCTTGCCATACCACTCTAGTACAAAAAATAAACAGTTAATAAGTCAGCAGTCCTGTGTGTGTGTTTGTATGAGTACATGTATGCATGCACATCTATTGTAGTGATCACATGGTTTTGTCTTTAGTTCTGTTTATGTGATGAATCATGTTTATTGATATGTATATGTTGAACCAACCCTACATCCCAAGGATAAAGCCTATTTTGTCATGGTGGATTAGCTTTTTGATGTGCTGCTGGATTTGGTTTGCTAGTATTTTGCTAAGGATTTTTGCATCAATATTCATCAAGAATATGAGGATGATGCTGGTCTCATCCTGGCTTTGTGGATCTTTTGAATGACTTTTCATGTCTCAATCTCCTTCAGTTTAGCTATGATTTTGGTTATTTCTTGTTTTCTGCTAGCTTTGGGGTTGGTTTGCTCTTGCTTCTCTAGTTCTTTTAGTCATGATATTAGGTTGTTACTTTGAGATCTTTCTAACTTTTTGATACTGGTGTTTAATGCTCTAAACTTCCCTCTTAACACTACCTTAAATGTGTGCCAGATATTCTGGTATGTTGTGTCTTTATTCTCATTAATTTCAAATAACTTCTTGATCGTGTCTTTATTCTCATTAATTTCAAATAACTTCTTGATCTCTGCCTTAATTTCATTATTTGCCAATAAGCCTTTCAAAAGCAAGTTGTTTAATTTCCATGTAAATGTATGATTTTGAGCAATTTTCTTCATAACAAATGCTATTTCTATTGAGCTGTGGTCCAACAGTGGATGGTTTAACTTTGGTTTTTTGAATTTGCTAAGAACTGTTTTATGTCCGATTGTGTGATGATGTTAGAGTGTGTGCAGATGAGAAGAATGTATATTCTATTGTTTTTGGATGGAGAGTTCTGTAGATGTAAATCAGATACATATGGTCATTGTTGATTCTAGGCCCTAAATGTTTTTGTTAATTTTCTGCCTCAGTGATCTATCTAGCACTGTCAGTGGGGTGTTAAAGTCTCCCACTATTGTTGTGTGGGACTCTACATCTCTTTGAAGGTCTCTAAAAACTTGTTTTTGGAATCTGAGTGGGCCTACATTGGGTGCATATGTGTTTAGGATAGTTAGATCTTCTTGTTTACTTAAACCCTTTACTATTACATAGTGCCCTTTTTGTCGTTTTTGTCTTTGTTGGCTTAAAGTCTGTTTTGTCAGAAATTAGGATTGCAACCTCTGCTTTTTTTTCTCTTTTTTATTTGCTTGGTAGATTTTTCTCCATATCTTTGAGTCTATGGGTGTTATTGCAGGTAAGATGGGTCTATTGAAGACAGCATACCATTGAGTTTTGCTTCTTTATCCAGCTTACCACACTGTGCCTTTTAATTGGGGCATTTAGCCCATTTACCTTCAAATTTAGAATCGACATGAGTGGATTTGATCCTGTCATTGTGTTTTTAGCAGTGACTGGTAATGGACTTTCTTTTCCATTTTTAATGCTTCTTTCAGGAGCTCTTGTAAGGTAGGTCTGGTGGTTAAAAAAATCCCTCAGTATTTGCTTGTATAAAAAGGATCTTATTTTTCTTTTGCTCATAAAACTTACTTTGGCCAGATATGAAGTGTATTTTTAGTAGAGATGGGGTTTCACCGTGTTAGCCAGGATGGTCTCAATCTCCCGACCTCATGATCTGCCCACCTCGGCCTCTCAAAGTGCTGGGATTACAGATGTGAGCCACCGCGCCCAGCCTAAAAAATCTTTATATTTTATCATTAGCCAAAGTTATCTGAGACATGACAACAAAACTTCAACACATTAAAAAAAAGATTAATTAAATTTCACAAAAATAAGAAAATAGAAAAAACACCAAAACTTTCTTCTATAAATGATTCTCTTAAGAAAATGAAAAGACAAAGTACAGATGGGGAGAAAATGTTTGTATATCACATATCCACAAAGGAGTTGTATGCAAAATATGTAAAGAACTCTTAAATATCAACAGCATGAAAGGAAACAACCCATCTAAAATAAACATAAACACTTGAACAGAAATTTCACCAAAGAAGATACTGATGGCCAAAAAGCACATGAAGGAACATTCAATAGCATTAGACATTATTAGGGAAATGCAAATGAGATACCTCAACATGCCTTTTAGTATGGCAAAATCTTCAAAAATACTGATGATACTATTTTTGGCAAGGATGCAGAGCAACTAGAACTCTAATAGTTGCTCTTGGGAATGCTAAACGGTTCAACCATCCTGGAAAACAGTTTGACAGTTTCTGAAAAAGTTAAACATATACCTGTCATATAACCC
This sequence comes from Homo sapiens, assembly GCF_000001405.40. Lineage (NCBI taxonomy): Eukaryota > Metazoa > Chordata > Mammalia > Primates > Hominidae > Homo > Homo sapiens. The sequence goes on along the minus strand of NC_000003.12, from coordinate 162,065,783 downwards.
AGCAATCTCACTCCTGGGTATTTAACTTGGAGAAATGAAAACAAGTGTTTATATGAAATAAACAAAAGGATGTTTATATTTTCTCTATTAATAAGCACTAAACTCTGGGAATAACTCAAATGCCCTTCAATGGGTGAATGAATAAACACTCTGTGGTACATCCACTCAGTGGAATACTACTCAGCAATAAAAATAAAGAATGATTGATACATGCAACATTTGGATGACCCTCAAAGTTATTTTGTTGAGTAGATAAAGTCAGTCTTAAAAGGTCACACAACATATGATTACATTTGTATAACACTCTTAAAAGAATAAAGTAATAATAAAATGCAGATTAGTAGTGGTCAGAAATAAAGTATGAGAGGAAGGAATGATGGCAAAGAGATAATATATGTCATGTTTCCTGACAGCTGTAACTCTTTTGGATCCTGATTGTGGTAATAGTTCTTTGAATGTATACATATGTTAAATTTATAGACTCATATATTTTAAAGTCAATTTACTGAATGTTAATTTTAAAAATTAAGTTAAAAATGATCAAGAAACATGCATGGTCTTTGATCTTTTCATAAGAAACAATTAAAAGTGCTTTCCCCTGCCCTATTCTTCAAAAGGAAATGGTCTGGATGAGAACAATGGAAGGAGGCTCTCTAAGTACATTTTATGCTTTTATATTTATATGTACATATTATTTTTTTCAGAAATAAATGTAACATCTCATTCTCTCAAACGGAGCATGTGTGATTTTGTTTTGGATACTCTTTCTACAGTTTTTATCTTTACATTATTAATTAAAATATTTCCTACAAAAATAGTCCCAAAAGAAAAAGTTATTTTTATGTGCAGACAAGGAAAGATAGATTCTGCTTACTGTTTACACAACATATTAAGTGATATCACTGAATTTCAGTTCATGTGGGCTTTCAGAATTATGATATTGAAGCATGTACTTTATATGCAAATATTTTTCAAAGATCAAGCTTCTGTCTCACAGATTATAAACTGTCATATTTCACTCTGTTTGAATCTGGCATATGTTAAAGTATTCCCAGCCGTGCTTTTATCGTCACAAACAGTAAACTATTCAAAGCTCAGAGGAATGGAACTAACAGCATGTTTGTGGAGTTTCATCAAAACAGTTAAAGAGAATACAAATTAGTTAATTCATCAGTTTTATTTGTCTTGGTAATTGACTCTGCTTTTGAAACTACAACCGTAAGATTTTGAAAGGTTAAACACCATGGTTTGGGAAAAGGTGTGATAGCAGATTGAACTATTTCACTATTTTGTAAATGATGTTGACTCGCTGGACATCATACAATTTTCTCTTTAAGACCTTGGTCTCACTCAAAAGCTGGGCTGCTTTGTTTTATGGTTTAGGTACTATCAGTTTAGTATTTTTTTCTCTGTGTCATTTATTGTCTAATCTTTTTGCCTAGAAAATGAAGGGATGGTCTGATTAAACACAATTGTTCCTGATTCTATCATTAGCTAGTTTATAGAAGTATAAACTAGCTGGGGGATGTGGGACAGAAGCAGGGATGGTTGAGGTGTACAAAATATAGTTAAATAGAATGAATAAGATCTAGTATTTGATAGAACAACAGGGTGATTACAGTCAACAATATTTTACTGTACATTTTAAAGTAACTACAGCAGCATAATTAGAATGTCTATAACAGAAATAAATAATAAATGCTTGAGGTGATAGATACCCTATTTACCCTGAGGTTATTATTGTGCATTGTATCAAAATATCTCATATATTCCATAAACACACCTGCCATGTACTCATTAAAATTTAAAATTAAAAAAGTTTTATTTAACTGTGCAGGGACAGGATTTGTCCTTATATTTGGCATGCATTAAGATATAAATAATTTTAAAATAATGAGGTGAAATATAACACTATGTGAGCAATCAGGTTGCTTGAAAAAAGTCTAAACAAGGAAATTCTTCTATCTTAGACAATAAAATATTCTTTAGCACAAAGCATATTTCCCCAGTAAGAACCTATGGCTGTATCCTTGCTTAATTTTAAGTATCACCGAATATTTTAAGAGAAGCAATCTTACACTTTACCTTGTCCAATCCACAGATAAGCTCCACAGCAGAGAAGTCATGTCTGTTGGTTCAATAGTCTATCTTAACTGTCTAGTAACTACATGCTGCATAAATGAATTAATCACCTCATTTTGCAAATGCGGAATATGTAGCTCCAATAAAACAAAGAGAACTGAACCAGGTTATAGTAGATTGGGTTTCTAACAATGCTCACAAAAATATCTACTATCTCATATGCTCATTTGCAATGTAACCTTACCAGTTTCCCATCAAGAGATGGAATCCATCTCCTTTACTTTTGAACCTGCTCTTACTTCGCAGCTTGCTTTGATCGATAGAATCCAGCAATAATGATGCCATGCAACATCTGAGTCTGGGCCTGGAGAGAGCAGCAGTTTTACATCAGCTGTTCTGAATGCTTACTTCTAGGACCTACTCATGTAAAGAAACCTAGGGAGGCCATCTAGAAAGAGCCATATGGGGAGTGAGAGATAGACTCAACCTCCAGCCCATTTGCCAAGGTGCTAGACATGGGAATTAAATCATATTGGGTATTCAGGACTGTTTCCATCTTGTCATCACCACTTGAGAAATGTGTGACACATGGAAAAGAAAAATAACATACCCAAGTTCTACCCGAATGTTAACAAATACAATGGTTGTGGTTTTAAGCACTAAGTTTTGAGGTAGTTTATTACACAGCAATAGGAAACTAAAACGTACGTTATAAATCTAGTTTCGGTGGAATCCTCATAGAAAACGAGTATTTTTCCCCTCTCTACAAATGCAAAGCACTCAAACATTTACTGCTCTTTTGTTGTACAAAATTTGTGTTTCTATTCTTAATTTAAAAATAATGGATAGAACACAATACATTTATTTCTAGAGTCTCTATTTTCTGTGACATTAAGAAGAAATGCAAATAGAACTCTCAGAACACTTAGAAAGATGAGAAACTTGATTAATTAGCACCTCTACACATAATAAAGAAGATCCTAAAACTAGAATCAAAATGCGGGCATCAGGAATTTCAAGTATTTTAAGATAAATACGTTTAAATTTTCCTGTACATATAATGAAAATAGGAAAAAGTTCCTGGAGTATTGCCTCTGGATAAAGACAGCTGCCAATTCCTATAGATGTCAAATAAGTAGAAATCCAAACTACTATGCTGAGTGAGTTTTCTATAGCTCAGCATTCTTTTTGTAGCAGAACATTATCAGGCTGTAAGTTTTTGGAATTCAATCTCTTCAAATGGCTTATATTATTAGTGTTTTAAAGATAAAAGTTCTGAATAGTAAGTTATAGAAACTGAACAGGAAATATGATGAAATGAATTTAAGAACAAAAATTACATATTCAGTAGTAAAAATAATCCAAAGTTTTTATATACCATGGAACACTAAGTGATGGAAACAATTTTATTTAAATTCATGAGTATTTGTTCACGAGAATGTTATGTTCAGTGCTAAAAACTTTAAGGCAAGAGAAGGAAAAAAGGAAGGAAGTGAGGGAGGAAGAGAAGGAGGGAGGGATGGAAGAAGGGACAGAGGGAGGGAGGGAGGGAAGGATGGAGGTGAGGAAGCAAGAGAAGTGTCAGATTATTTCTTTCATTGGGGAGCTTGCAATAGAAATAGATAAAGGCAATACAGAAATGTGAAAATACTCATTACATACTTGTGATTTTAAATGCACAATCTATAAACAGACTTTTTAAACTTACTCCTGTATTACTCTCCTCAAGTCTATATATAGTCTCCTTCTAATTTTGCATTTCACATTCAATCCTCAGTCTGCAGAAATTAGGGCTCCTTAGTAATGCTCATTAGTAAAAGTAGATGAATTATTCCATTACTTACATTGCATAAGCTCTTTGAAACATGTAACAGAGTTTCAGCACATTGTCTTTTCTCAAGGTCCTTCTAGCTCCTCTTCATTATTTGACTACTTTTTGTCTGAGTTGGGTGCATCTCACCATTTATGGGTAGAAGAATTTTTTTTTTTTTTTATTGAGATGGAGTCTCGCATTGTTGCCCCGGTTGGAGTGCAGTGGCACGATCTCAGCTCACTGCAACCTCTGCCTCCCGGGTTCAAGCAATTCTCCTGCCTCAGCCTCCCAAGTAGCTGGGATTACAGCTGCCTAACACCACGCCCAGCTAATCTATTGTATTTTTAGTAGAGACAGGGTTTCACAATGTTGGCCAGGCTGGTCTCGAAACCCTGACCTCATGATTTGCCCTCCTTGACCTCCCAAAGTGCTGGAATTACAGGCATGAGCCACCGCGCTGGGCTTGTAGAAGAATTTTTAACCTCCAAATATGTTGTCTAGCCAGAATTTTGAAGTTAGATATTAAATTGCAAAAGTTAGCCAAGTTCCAGATGAGCTGCTTATCATTAGTATGTGACATTCAAAACGGAAAATGTGTTTAGTAGTGGGCATTAAATCAGTAAATTAAAAGTTAATTGCACTTAATTTTGTTTTGAACCCCATCTGGTTCCAGTTCCCAAGGAGAGTTCTATAGACGGGCAAATTTAATCATCTGAATTATGCATAGGCTCCTGGAGTTTCCTCCTTACCTGTCCCATTATAGATCTTAAGTTGTCTCTAATGCATTAAATATATTTGTCCCGATAACACCTTTGTGTTTCAAGGGTCAAAACAGAGATTTCTGTTGATGGACATATGACAAGAAACAGGAGCCTTTTAGACAGCTTGTCTCTCAGAAGTATATGTCTGGTCTGCTGTGTTTTTATTTGTGACCATATTTCTGAGTGATTTTACCCATTTCCATTCTAGTGACTTCCAAATCTATATTTTCAGCCCAGATCTTTCTTCTAAGACGAAGACAGGTGATATGGTTTGGCTCTGTGTCCCACCCAAATTTCATCTCGAATTGTAATCCCCAGGGTGTCCATGGAAGGACCTGGTGGGAGGTGAATGGATCACAGGGGTGGTTTTCTCCATGCTGTTCTCAAGACAGTGAGTGAGTTCTCATGAGGTCTGATGGTTTTAAAGTGCTGCATTTCCCATTTACTTACTCTCTTTTTCTCCTGCCTGCTTCCCCTTCACCTTCTGCCATGATTGTAAGTTTCCTGAGGCCTACCCAGCCATGTAGAACCATGAGTCAATTAGAACTCTTTTCTTCATAAATTCAGGTAGTATCTCTATAGTAGTGTGAAAATAGAATAATACAGACAATTTGTACCAGGATACTGGGAGTACTGCTATAAAGATAACCTGAAAATGTGGAAGTGACTTTGGAACTGGGTAACAGTAAGGGGCTGGAACAGAGGTTGGACAGGTTTGGAGGGCTCAGAAGATGATAGGCAGATGTGGGAAAGTTTGGAACTTCCTCGAGACTTGTTGAATAGTTTTGACCAAAATACTCATAGTGATATGGACAATGAAGTCTAGGCTGAGATGGGCTCAGATGGAGATGAGGAACTTACTAGGAACTGAAGCAAAGGTCATTTTTGCTATGCTTTAGCAAAGTGGCTGGCTGCATTTTGCCCCTGCCCTAGGGATCTGTGGACTTTGACCTTGAGAGAGATAATTTAGACTATCTGGCAGAAGAAATATCTAAGCAGCAATGCCAGGTGACCTGGTTTTTGTGAAAGCATTCAGTTATATGAACTCACAAAAAGATGGTTTGAAATCAGAACTTATGTTTAAAGGGGAAGCAGAGTATAAAAGTTTGGAAAATTTGCCACCTGACTATGTGGTAGAAAAGAAAAACCCATTCCTTGGGGAGAAATTTAAGCCAGCTGCAAAAATTTGCATAAGTAATGAGAAGCCAAATGTTTATAACCAAGACAATGGGGAAAATGTCTCCAAGGCATGTCAGAGATCTTCGTGGCAGCCCTTCCTATCACAGATCCAGAAGCCTAGGATGGAAAAACGGTTCTGTGGGCCAGGCCCAGGGCCCAGATTCTCTGTGCACCCTCAGGACTTGGTGCCCTGCATCCCAGCTCCCAGATGCTCCACCTGCAGCCATGACTAAAAGGGGCCAAGGCACAGCTCAGGCCTTTGCTTCAGAGGGTACAAGCCCCAAGCCTTGGTGGTTTCCATGTGGTGTTGGGCCTGCAAGTGCACGGAAGACAAGAGTTGAGCTTTGGGAACATTCACCTAGATTTCAAAGGATGTATGGGAACACCTGGATGTCCAGGCAGAAGTCTGCTGATAGGGTGGAGCCCTCATGGTGAACCTCTACTAGGGCTGTGTGGAAGGAAAATGTGGGTTGGAGCCCCCACACAGAGTCCCCACTAGAGCATTTCCCAGTGGAGCTATGAGAAAAGGGCCACAATCCTCCAGACCCCAGAATGGTAACTCCACTGACGGCTTACACTGTGCACCTAGAAAAGCTGCAGACACTCAATGCCAGTCTGTGAAAGCAGCTTCAGGGGCTTTACCTTCCAGAGCCTCAGGGGCGGAGCTGCCCAAGGCCATGGGAGCCCACCCCTTGCATCAGCGTGCACTAGTTGTGAGACATGGTGTCAAAGGACATTACTTTCGAGCTTTAAGACTTAATGAGTACCCTGCTGGGTTTTGGACCTGCATGGGCCCTGTGGTCCCTTTGTTTTGGCCAATTTCTCCCATTTGGAATGGGAGCATTTACTCACTGCCTGTACCCACATTGTGTTTTGGAAGTAACTAACTTCCAAAGTTTTTGATTTTACAGGCTCATAGGCAGAAAGGACTTGCCTTGACTCAAATGAGATTTTGGACTTGGACTTTTGAGTTAATGCTGGAATGAGTTAAGACTTTGAAAGTCTGTTGGGAAGGCATAATTGGTTTTGAAATGTAAAAAGGACATGAGATTTGAGAGGGGCAGGGGCAGAATAATATGGTTGTCTCTGTGTCCCATCAAAATCTTATCTCGAATTGTACCCCACATGTCAAGGAAAGGACCTGGTGGGAGGTGACTAGATCATGGGGGCAGATTCCCCCATGCTATTCTCATGACAGTGAGTTCTCGTGAAATCTGATGGTTTTAAAGTGTGGCACTTCCCCTTTGCTTGCTCTCTCTTTCTCTCTCTCCTGCCACCATGTAAGAAGGTGCCTGTTTCCCCCTTGCTTTCCATGATGATTGTAAGTTTCCTGAGGCCTCCCTAGCCATACAGAACTGTGAGTCAATTAAACCTCTTTTCTTCATAAATTAAACAGACTTAGGTAATATCTTTATCGCAGTGTGAAAATGGACTAATGCAACAGATATATTGAATAGGTTACTTATGTGACCACTTCCTGGGCCAAAAATAGCCTCTAATCAGCAATTATACAACTGAATTTGGCATCCAACATCCCACTTAAAAAGCTTCTTGTCCTACCCAACTTGTCTTGGCTAATTCACCATCTAATTATCTAAGCAGTAAAATCTAGTTATCCTCTTTGGTTCCTCTCTCCCTTCACTTGATATATCCAGTTAGTCACAAAATCTTGTCTATTTTATCCGAAAAAAATACTTTTACAAAATATATATTTCCCTCTTTCTCCAACCAACATTAGGGCCCTTAACATTTCTTACCTGGACTACTAAAATGGGTTCTTAATTTTTCCCCCTTGTTTTTTATTTATACTATCCTCAATCCATTTTCTACCATTCTACAAGGGTAATATTTTGAATACACAAATGTGATCCTGGCAACATACTGATGAATTGCTTTAAGAATATCCCCTCAACTTCAGGACAAACCCAATTCCACTTCAAGTTATAAAGGCTCTTTTCTAACTTATTAGTTTCACCTTGTGTTATTCCCATTCCTAACCCCATAATGCACAGAATCTTACTTTCCCTGAAATGTCTTCCTCTGCTCATTAGGATATGCTATTTCTTCATCTAGAAATATATATCTCCTTTATTGGCCTGTTAAAAACTCCATTCCTCACAAACTTGTATATATTCTTCCCTTCTAGGAAATGTTCATTGTATTTCACACACTCATATCCAACCACATTGGTTAAGTTGATTATTTCCTTCATTGTGCCACTTCTATATCATATAAGTAATTCAAAAATGTGTTTAGATATCTAGCTCCCCTGTTAGATCCTAAACTCCTCTGAAGAACATGAGCCATTTTCACTTGTTCATGACAAGTGCCTTGCATGTGCTAGGCATACAATACCTACTTGAAAAATGAATAAATAAATAAATGCACAAAATAATCATTAGTATGATCTTTAGGCAGTTTTGAAGTCTAATTTTCTTTGTCTGTAAAGTAGAAAATAATGCACAATTCCCCAAAAGCTTAATTTTACAAACTGTGAAATCAGAAAAGAAAAAAAAAATGTAAATGTATAACATGCAAAATTTGGGATACGGCAAATATCAGTGCTGTAGAAATTTAGAATTTCTTCCAATAAGGGCTGGAAGACTTCTATAAGTGTAAGCATTTAAGCTTGGCCTTGATGGATTAGTTAAATATGAGGAGTGGAGAGAAGAGTGGAGTGAAGACATCTCATGTGAGAACAAAATTAGTAAAATGGCTGAGATCAAAGCCAGAATAGTGTTTGTTACAGACAATAAGGTGATGTTCTTTCTGGATCAACAGTTGGGCATTTTGAGAAGTTGTGAGATATACAATTGGAGGAGACAAATGTGGCTAGTAAGCAGAAGATTTTCAATCATGTTATAAAGGTACCAATTATCATCATTAGAATATTTTGAAATACTTTGCTGCAAAATTAGAGTCATTAACATAAATAACCAGATCTTGAAATTGTAATTTTGAACATAATTTTTACATGGCTTGATCGAGTGTGAAATAGTTTATTGCAATTAAATAATGATTCTATGTATTGACACTCATTCTAACACACAAAAAGTCTCTTCAATGCTTGTTAAAAATTATTTCATGCTCCATCCCTTGTAATTCTGAGAACATTCATTTGATGTTCAGTTAAAATTTAATATCCTACCATTCCTTGAATCTGACTTTTGTTTCCTTGAGTCCTCAGTTTGGTTACACTCTATGCCTTCCCTAAGATAGTCCTATAATCTACTTTGCAAATTTCTCTTTATCCTTCAAGATAGAGTGAAAATGTCACCTCTTCCATGCTTCCATGAAGTTTTCCTGGACTACACAGGCCAGAATGACAAGCTTTTTGGGGCTCAAGTGCACCTTTTCACTCCTCGTTACTGCTCTCATATTGCTTCTTCCCAAGGCTCCTCAAGGACTAAAGTGGACCTAATTTGTATTAAACTTTAGAGCTTTATAGAATTTCTAGTAAACAGAAAGAGCTCATTGAATGTTGAAGTAACTGATAAATACTGGTAAGATAGTAATGTGTGTCGAGAGGTATTTTTTAACTGCCAACAGTCTAAGGTTAATGTTTTTATTTTTTGTTTTTATATAAAATGCTCTATTAAAAATGAATAAGCAACAAGAAAATAAAAATGTATCTGCCTATCAAATAAACAAAATTTAAAATAATACTTATGTGCTAGGTAGAAGTAAAAAGAATACTCTCACATGCTGTGGTATTAATATAAATTTCTGAAAGCAGTTTGGCAATATTTATCAAAAACTTTTTAAAAAGTTAAGTTATTTGAACAAGTAATACTGTTTCTTGCAACATTTCCTAAGGAAAACTCAGACTTATTAAGAAAATGTATGTTTAAATGTAACCAGGGAATTGTCTGTTTTCAAACATTATACAGTAAAATAGGACAAACACTTTGGGAGACTGAGATGAGAGGATTATTTGAACCCAGGAGTTTGAGTCTTCCCTGGGGCAATATAGTGAGACTTAGTTTCTCCAAAAAAAATTTTTTTTAATTAGATGGACATGGTGGCACACTCCTGTTGTTCCAGCTCCTCAGGAGGCTAAAGTGGGAGGAATGCATGAGCCTGGGAGGTTGAGACTGCAGTGAGCCATAATCGTGCCACTGCTCTCCAGCCTGGGACAAAGAGAGAGACCCTGTCTCAAAAAAAAAAAAAAAAAAAAAAGAAAGAAAGAAAGAAAGAAAAGAAAAAGAGGAACAAAATTAAAAAGAAATACCTATCTTAGAGATATTTTTGAAGACAGTGGAGACTGACTTGTATTCAAATTCTACTTCTGCCTCATACTAGCTGAGTGACTTTGACCAAGTCACTTATATTCTCCAAATTATGCCAAATTATACTTCTCACATATGTATATTGAGCATAATAATGGTAACTATTCCATAGGGTTGCTGTGAGAAAGAAAGGATCAAAAATGTAAAAAGTTCAAAACAAGTACTAACATCCAATAAGTGATCAATAATATAATCTATTATATTAATGACAATAATGATGACTGTAAGATGTGCCATTTCAATTTTGACACAGCTTAACTGCTAGGATGGCATTTTATAGAGAACTGAGGATTAAGAGACATAGAGAACAACTTCAATATTTTCTTTATGAGCATTTTTGTTGAAAATATAGAATCCTATTTTTAATTATTATTATTCTGGGCATAGTAGCATTGGATGTCAGGGTTTTCATGCTTAGGATTGATGTTATACAGTTCCTTTTTAGATATTTAAAAATACTTTATTTTTGACAGGATAATTCTGCCACCTCCCTAACTAATCATCTCAGAGCCCACACAATTATTTATATTGTATCATTAATGGTTCTTTACTTTTTTAAAGCTCAAGCAGTCTTTGTGACAATAACAAGTGAAGGTTTTAGATTATTTGAGTTGTTGGTCTCTTTGTTCTCTTTTAAAAGAGATGTCACTCAAATCTACCTCTGACTGGTACTTTCCAAAAAACAAGGAGGAAAATTTGCATTTGTCATGAAGTCATTTAAATGACTTTAGAAAAGATTGAAACATTTATAAATTTGTTTAGAGGTGCTTGCTATGAAAATGTGCTGAGTGGGTTGTTGTTTAAAAACTTATTTAAAATCATATCTGCTTGAAAATCATTTTGAGACTGCAATTAATTGTAAGTAGAGTATTAGGAATCATATGGTAACTACAAATAATTGTAAAGTGATGGATGCATATCAATCTTTTTTCTTTCTTTTTTTTTGAGACGGATTCTTGTTCTGTTGCCCAGGGTGGAATGCAATGATGTGATCTCAGCTCACTGCAACTTCCACCTCCCTGGTTCAAGCAATTCCTCTGCCTTAGCCTCCCAAGTAGCTAGGATTACAGGGGCATGCCACCATGCCTGGCTAATTTTTTTGTATTTTTAGTAAAGACAGGGTTTCACTATGTTGGCCAGACTAGTCTTAAACTCCTGACTTCAAGCAATCTGCCGGCCTCAAACTCCCAAAGTGCTGGGATTACAGGTGTGAGCCACCGCACCTGGCCCATATCAATCATTTTTGTGCCAAAACATTTACCTTGAAAGTATTTAGAATGAGACTACCCATCCAGTTAAAATTGTAACTTTAATGAAATAAAGAATAAGTAAATATATAATTATCTTTGGAAAAAGAGTATAAAAGACAGAGACAGATGAAGTGTGATTTATTTAAAATCACACAGTGCAAAATGAGACAAACAATGATGAGACATTTGCATCGGAAAGATATATTTCTTTTGTCCTGTATATGTGACTGTGTGGTGAATGTGCGCATGTTGGGGCATATGTGTGGAATTTCTACATATATGTATAATCTTTGCAAGCATACAGTTTTGTGATAACTTTAACAAACATATTGTTTATTCCTGACATTATTTTAAATTCTAGCCACCCAAAGAGTTTTGTGAATCTCTAGCCCTTGCTTTTGTATGCAATACATTTCTGTCAGTTGTCTTTGTGTAATGAGAGAGAGTACCAGGTATGCTCCACTTAAGCACAAAGGAGAAACACAGTTTTTGTGTAACTGAAACATGAAGTCTTTAAAGCTATACCATTAATTTTGGTTCCTTGCCAAGCATAATGCCAACCACTCTTAACAAGAAAGCTATTTAAGTTGGTACAGAAAGACCTTCTTTCTGAAATTTCTTATAACCTTGGTAGATTTCCCAGGCTTGTGGAGGGAGATTTGATTGTACTATGAAAATTGGCCTTTGAGTATTTAAAATATATCAGCAAATTTCAAAAATTTATACACACTGCATAGTGTTTGTATAAGTCACCTCGTATAAGTCAGTCTCATTTACTGTCTTCTTTTTGCAAAATGATGGTATGGAGTTGGTCACTATGATGTCTTCTGGCTCTAAAGCCCTCTGAAGGCACCAAAGACACTGCAGATATTAAAGTGGGTTTTCATCAATATACATTATACTGTGGACATCTGAATTGGAGGAAGTCATCAGAAGGATGAAATTATTTGGATCTGGTTAAAGATATGATGCAAGTTGTTCACTTTATGCAAAGGTGAAGAAGACTTCTGGAAACTGAGAAGACCAAGAAGGAGGAGAGAAAGTGAATGAAGGGTCACTGACCAATGTGAAACTACTTGATGCTTGCCAGCTGAACAGAACCATGATCAATGGAAAAAATAATACAGAAAATTAATGAATGGATGAATGATATGGTGAGTAGACCCAGAATCTAAAAGACAAAACAGCCAAAGTGGTGAGAAAAGGTGAGTTTTAGTAACAGAAAAACAAAACAAAGAAGAAAGAAAAAATGGAGTTGGAAAAACAACAACAAAAAGATCTTATAATATCCATAATCATAAATTGAATTTTTAAAAATAGCCTCATCCAGGACTGAAATATTATCAAATATGAAATGAGAACCTTGGTAAAATGAAGTAATATAAACAATAGCTTACATTTTTTAAATATTCAATATATTCCAAGCACTGCACTAAGACTCTAGATATAATTTTCTCAACCTAGTAACTAATGTACAGGAGTCTCCCCAGTCATTGCTTGTCTGATTAAAATGACCAAAAGAATAAAAAAAGAGTGAACAATCTGAGTCACTGCTAAAAACAACAAACTGTAATATGTAATAGCTTTGAGGACAAGAGAATGGAATCTGTTGCCCTATTTCATCCTCAAAATAGATTATAGTGCCAGACTAATTGTAGTTAATTTATGTACCCAACAGTATGAATAAGGGAGGAGATTACCCCTCATCTTGTCTTATGCCCAATTTCTGCCTCCAAAGAAAGAAGAAGTAAAAACTAAAAGGCAGAAATGAAATTCACAGGCAGACAGCCTGGTGCTGTGGCCTAGGCCTGGTTGAAGATCGACCCCTGACCTAACTGGTTATGTTATCTATAGATTCCAGGCATTGTATGGAAAAGCACTGTGAAAATCCCTGTCCTGTTCTGTTCCGTTCTGATTATTGGTTCATGCAGCCCCCGGTCACGTACCCCCTGCTTGCTCAATCGATCACAACCCTCTCACATGGACCCCCTTAGAGTTGTAAGCCCTTAAAAGGTACAGGAATTGCTCACTCAGGGAGCTTGGTTTTTGGAGACATGAGTCTTCCTGAAGCACCCGACTGAATAAAGCCCTTTCTTCTTTAACTCAGTGTCTGAGGGGTTTTGTCTGTGGCTTGTCCTGCTACATTTCTTGGTTCCCTGACAGGGAAGCGAGGTGATTAACGGACGGTCCAGGCAGCCCCTTACAAGCTTAGGCCTGCCCTGTGGAGCATCCCTCTGGGGGACTCAGGCCAGCTTGAGCAACCCGGATCCTGAGAGCACTCCTGGGTAGGCATTTGCCCTGGTAGAACACCTCATCAGAGCGGTGCACAGCAGGCCCCCATGGAGGATCAATGTAGTGGCTGAACACCGGGAAGGAACGGGCACTTGGAGTCCACACATCTGAAACTCGGTAAGACTGGTCTTTGGAACTTGCCCACTCCATTTGAGTGGAAGTGTGGCCTGATCACCCACAACATGCCTGTACCGGCACTTCAGTTTTTGTTTTTGACTTGATTTGGATTGCTTGATACTTTGGTTTTGGTTTTGACCTGGCTTGGATTTATTGATACTATGATTTTGGTTTTGATTCTGGTTTGGTGTAAACTATAAAAGTGTGTGTGTGCCCTTTTTACCCATTCTTTGTTTTGTGGTGTGCATGTGGTGTGAGCATGGTGTTTTGTCTTGAGGAAGCATGGGTCAGGCATAAAGTAAGCCCACCCCACCAGGAACTATGTTGAAAAATTGCAAGAAAGGATTTACGGGAGACTATAGAGTACTATGACACCAAGAAAGCTTAAAACTTTGTGTAAGATAGACTGGCCAGCATTAGAAGTGGGTTGGCCATCAGAAGGAAGCCTGGGCAGGTCCCTTGTTTCAAAAGTATGGCACAAGGTATCATGTAAGCCAGGGTACCCAGACCAGTGCCCGTACATAGACACTTGGTTAGGGCTGGTTTTAGACCCGCCCCTCCTCACCACAGTGGTTGAGAGAACAGCAGCATAAGCGGCTGGCAGAAGCAAGGAAAGACCAGCAGACAGAGAGAGAGGAAAGAGACAGAGAGAAAAAGAGGTAAAGAGAGAGAGGAAAGAGACAGAGAGAAAAAGAGGTAAAGAGAGAGAGGAAAAGACAGAGAGAAAGAGACAGAGAGACAAAGAGGGAGTCGAGAGAAAGAGAAAGAGAGAGGCAGAGAGAGAGGCAGAGACAGAGGCAAAAGGAAAGTCAAAGAGAGAGACAGAAAGTCAAGGAGAGAAAGAAAGAGAGAAAGAGATGAATGTACAAGTAGTTAAGAAAACAAAAATAGTGTACCCCATTCCTTTAAAAGTCAGGGTAAATGTAAAACCTATAATCGATAATTGAAGGTCTTCTCCTAGACCCTACAACACTCCAATACCACCTTGTTGTAAGGGTAAACAAGGGCATAGCCCAAAAGCACTGAGGCCACTGACAACCTGTAGGCTTCCTATCAAAAATCCTTAACCCAGTAACTGCGGATGGCCCAAATTCATTCAATCTGTAGCGGCAACTGCTTTGCTAACAGAAGAAATTAGAAAAATAACTTTTAGAGGAAACCTCATTGTGAGCACACCTCACCAGTTCAGAAGTATCCTAAGTAAAAAAAAAAAAAAAAAAAAAAAAAAAAAGATGATTTAACTTTAACGTTAACCACTGAAAATTCCCATAACCCAGCAGGTTTCCTAACAGGGGATCTAAATCTTAATTACTATACAAAGGTCCCATCAGACTTAGGAGGAACTCCCTTCAGGACAGGACAATAGATGGTTCCTCCCGGGTAATTGAATTAAAAAAAAAAGCCATCTATACCAATTCTAAGTTAATTTAGACTAAACAAGTTCTTATTAATAGCAAAGGATAATTAAAATCCCAAACTTACAAGGTTTTCAACAAAAGTAAAGTTTGCTAAAAGTTAACAGGGTAACAGGTATTATAGTAACTTCTAATCTTGTGACCTTGGACAGTCTAGTTCACAGACACAAAGAAAGTTCACTTTGGAAAGAATGGTTATCATCTCCAAAAAAAAAAAAAGAGGGAAAAAACGGGGGGCAAAATTTATGTAAAAAGAATGTTATATGGTAAATTCTTGTACTGAGATAAATCAACTGGTTGTTTAAAGAAAAAAATGTTTGTCAGAAAGTCAGAAAGTCAGAAAGTTAAGGCATGTCGAAGAATTGTCTGCGAAAGTTGTGAAAGAAAAAAAAAGTTACAAAAAAATTTTATGCAAGAAATGTTGTATAGTTTAAAAGTAATAAGGCCTCCTGAGTACTATTGAAGAAACAGTTTATGTGCAAGGTGTATAAGGAAACTAAAATGTACCTTTGGTAAAAGGATTATAAGGAGGCATAAGAATGTAAATTTTTACCTACATTAAAAGGTTAAAAAATATATTGTTTTGAAAGTTTAAGCAAGTTTTAAAACATTAATCATAAAGGAAATTCTGTGTGTAAACATATTAGCTAAAGTTAAAGGGGTATCATCCAGTTTTTCTGTGAACTGGACATTAAAGTAAAAACACAATGGGTTTTTCTTAAAGCACTAACCTGCTCTTTAACAGAAATTATAAAAGGTTAAAAAGAGTCTATAAAAATCTTACCTTATGGTCTGACATTAAAAATTGAATAAACATGTCTATAAAGTTTTATTAAAACTAAGTTTAACATTAATAGCACACTCATATAAAGGTGAAATTTAGCTTATCTGGTATAAAAATCATACAAGAAGAATTGTCAAATATAAAATGGTGTTTGGCTTCTTTGGTCTAAGAAACTAATAAAAAGAGGTGCTAAAGGAAATTTCTCAGTAGAAAGGCACCAAGGACTATAAAGTCCACTGCTAATGTCCCCACATTTAAAACAAAAGGTCAATTTCTTAAAAATTACATACTTGGTTTATCTTCCACTTTCCTTTCCCTCAAAACTAAAAGTCTTTTAGCACATGTATCACCCCTAGAATTTCTGGTAAACCAGCACAAGCCTGAAGATCACGTTCTCATCAAAAGGTGAAAAGAAAGGAAACTAGAGCCAGCCTAGAAAGGACCCGACCTTGTGCTGCACTGAGACTGCTGTTCATACAGTGAAAAAAGGATGGACTCATCACAACCGAGTCAAGAAAGAGCCACCCCCTCCAGAGTTGTGGGCCATAGTCCCAGAGGAAAACCCTACCAAACTAAAGCTAAGAAAAATTTAACTCTTTCATCTATTCTATTACTCTTTCTTCTTCTTCTTTTTTTTTTTTTTGAGATGGAGTCTCACTCTGTTGCCCAGGCTGGAGTGCAGTGGCATGATCTCGGCTCACTGCAAGTACCACCTCCTGGGTTCACGCCATTCTCCTGCCTCAGCCTCCCGAGTAGCTGGGACTACAGGAGCCCACCACGAGGCCCAGCTAATTTTTTGTATTTTTAGTAGAGACGGGGTTTCACCGTGTTAGGATGGTCTCGATCTCCTGACTTTGTGATCCACCTTCCTCAGCCTCCCAAAGTGCTGGGATTACAAACGTGAGCCACCGCACCCAGCCTACTCTTTCTTCTTTCCTTGCTCTATTGCTGACCATCTAGTTATTAACATAACCACGTCAATTTCATCTCAAACTATTGCATTTAATGCTTGCCTTGTTATACCCTGTGGGGACTTGCCAAGTCAAAGATAGCTCTCTACTTCAGAAAAGTACCTCTGTCCCTCCTGACTCTCCTCAGACTGGGCATTAGTAAATTAGGACCATTTAATCCTGGGAAATTTCAATAAAGACTCCAGTGTCAACCAGGAGTCTTGCCCCCCAATGTAGAGCTTTTATGCCATAGTTGGTCCAATGTTCTGTGGACCACTAAAGAGCAAGGATAGAGTGCCCCAACCAGTTTTTGTAATTTCCTATAATCATACTTTCATTTTACTAGAGGATCACAGAAGTTAAAGACTTAAAACAAACTTTGGCAATTAAAACAGGATACCAAGATGCAAATGCGTGGTTGAAATGGATCAAATATTCCATTAGCACGTTAAACAAAAGCAATTGTTATGCTTGTGCACATGCCAGGCCAGAGGCTCAGATTTTCCCCTTTCCACTAAGGTTGTCCTCCAGTTGACCAGGCGTGGGCTGAATGGTTGCTCTTTTCCAGGATTCTACAGCCTGGAGTAATAAGTCATGCCAAGCTCTCTCCACTATATTCCAAAGTCTGGCACCCTGCAGGTCAGCCCCCAAGGGCCATCCAGCTTCCCTCTCCCAACACTAAGTTCACATCGTGTCTCTCACGACAGGGAGGAAACTTAGTGCTCCTTGGAGATCTGAAGGGATGCAGTGAGCTTAAGAATTTTCCAGAGCTTATCAATCAGTCAGCCCTTGTTCATCCCCGAGTGGATGTGTGGTGGTATTGTGGTGGGCACTCTGCTGAATAACTGGAGTGGCACTTGTACTTTAGTCCAATTGGCTATCCCTTTCACCCTGGCATTTCATCAATCAGAGGGAGGAAAAATAAGACATCATAAAGCGAGAGAAGCCCCTTATGGGTCTTTTGACTCTCACGTCTATTTAGACACAATTGGAGTCCCACGGGGAATACCAGATCAACTTAAAGCTTGAAATCAAAGAGCTGCAGGATTTGAGTCAATATTTTGGCGGGTGACAGTTAATAAAAATGTAGATTGGATAAACTACATCTATTACAACCAACAGCAGCAAGTTTTTCATTAGTTAAAAGAAAAACTCATGTTGGCCCTAGCCCTGGTGCTACCTGTCCTGACAAAACCCTTTATACTCTATGTGTCAGAAAGAGAAAAAATGGCGTTGGAGTTTTAACCCAGACTGTGGGGCCCTGGCCAAGGCCTGTGGCCTATCTCTCAAAACAATGAGATGGGGTTTCCAAAGGCTGGCCCCCATGTCTAAGGGCCCTGGGAGCAACGGTGCTGTTAGCACAAGAAGCAGATAAACTAACCCTTGGGCAAAACCCGAATATAAAGCCCCCCCATGCTGTGGTAACTTTGAGGAATACCAAAGGACATCATTGGCTAACAAACGCTAGAATAACCAAGTACCAAAGCTTACTATGTGAAAATCCCCGCATAACCACTGAAGCTTGCAACACCCTAAATCCCGCCACCTTACTCCTGGTATCAGAGAGCCCAGTTGAACATAAACATGTAGAGGTATTGGACTCATTTTATTCTAGTGGGCCCAACCTCTGAGACCATCCTTGACTATCAGTAGACTGTGAGCTGTACGTGGGCAGGAGCAGCTTCGCCAACCCCTGCAAAGTGACTCTGAAGTAGACGACAAGCCCTGCTCCAGTTACACCCAGAAGCTGACTGGTTCATGCACGGCTGAAGCTGAGAAAACTCATCGCGGGACTCATTTTCCTTAAAATTTGGACTTGTACGGTAAGGACTTCAACTGACCTTCCTCAGACTGAGGACTTTTCCCAGTGTATACATCAATTCACTGAGGTAGGACAAAAAGTTGCTACAGTCCTATTATTTTGTGGTTATTATAAGTGTACCAGGACTCTAAAAAGAACTTGTTTGTATAATGCTATTCTATACAAGGTACATAGCCCAGGAAATGACCAACCTGATGTGTGTTATGACCCATCTGAGCCTCCCATGACCACAGTTTTTAAAATAAGATTAAGGACTGAGGACTGGTGGGGGTTCATAAATGATACGAGTAAAGTGTTAGCCAAAACAGAAGAAAGAGGGGTGCCCAAACAAGTCACCTTGAAATTTGATGACTGTGCTGTCATTAATAGTAATAAGTTAGGAAAAAGATGTGATTCTCTTAATTTAAAAGGAGTCTATATGGCAGAAAATAAGTGCATTTTTCATAAATTAGGACTGTGTGGAAATCAATGTGGATACTGGTCTCGTGCCATTTAGGCTACTTGGATAAAAAAGAAAAAAGAATCTTGTCCACCTTCAGAAAGGGAAAAGTGGCCCTTCCTGTACCAGTTGTCAGTGTAACCCCTTCGAACTAGTAATAACCAATCCCCTTGATCCTTGCTGGAAAAAAGGGGAGCGTATAACCCTTGAAATCAAGGGGGTTGGACTGGATCCTCGAGTAAATATCATGGTTTGAGGAGTTTATAAACGCTCTCCTGAGCCAGTATTTCAAACCTTCTATGATGAACTGAATGCGCCAGTACCAGAAATTCCAGGAAAAACAAGAAATTTGTTTTTGCAATTAGCTGAACATGTAGCCAATTCTCTCAATGTCACGTCATGTTATGTATGTGGAAGAACTGTAATGGGATATCAATGGCCATGGGAAGCCTGAGAATTAGTACCTACAGACCCAGTTCCCAATAAATTCCTGACTCAAAAGAATCACCCTGATAACTTCTGGGTCCTAAAAGCCTCAATCATTAGACAATACTGTATTGCAAGAGTGGGGGAGGACTTCACTCTTCCTGTGGGAAGACTCAGCTGCCTTGGGCAAAAACTGTATAATAGTACTACAAAAACAGCCACCTAGTGGAGTTCAAACCACACTAAGAAAAATCCATTTAGTAAATTCCCAAAGTTGCAAATTGTGTGGACCCACCCAGAGACCCACCCGGAGTCCCACTGGGACTGGACAGCCCCCACTGGATTATACTGTGTATGTGGGCATAGACCTTACGCCAAATTACTTGACCAGTGGGCAGGTAGTTGTGTTATTGACACTATTAAACCATCTTTCTTCCTACTGCCCATAAAGACAGGTGAACTCCTGGGCTTCCCTGTCTATGCTTCCCGCGAAAAGAGAAGCATAGCTATAGGAAATTGGAAAGATAATGAATGGCCCCCCTGAGAGAATCATACAATATTATGGGCCTGCTACATGGGCACAAGATGGCTTGTGGGGATACCGGACCCACATTTACATGCTCAGCTGAATCATACGGTTACAAGCTCTCTTAGAAATAATCACTAATAAGACCAGCAGAGCCTTGACTACTCTGGCCCCTCAAGAAACTCAGATGAGAAATGCTATCTATCAGAATAGATTGGCTCTCAACTACTTGCTAGCAGCTGAAGGAGGGGTCTGTGAGAAATTTAACCTTACTAATAGCTATCTACACATAGATCATCAAGGGCAAATAGTTGAAGACATAGTTAGAAATATGACATAACTGGCACATGTACCCATGCAAGTGTGGCATGGATTTGATCCTGGGGCCATGTTTGGAAAATGGTTCCCAGCTCTAGAAAGATTTAAAACCCTTATAATAGAAGTTATAATAGTAATAGAAACCTGCTTACTGTTCTGTTGTTTTCTACCTGTACTTCCTCAAATGATCAAAAGCTTCATTGCTACCTTAGTTCACCAAAATGCTTCAGCGCAAGTGTACTATATTAATCACTATTGATCTGTCTTGCAAAACGACACAGGTAGTGAGAATGAAAGTGAGAACTCCCACTATTGAGTGAAATTCTCAAAGAGGGGGAATAAGGGAGGAGACCACCCCTCGTATTGTCTTATGCCCAATTTCTTCCTCCAAAGAAAGAAGAAGTAAAAACTAAAAGGCAGAAATGAAACCAACAGGCAGACAGCCCGGTGTCATGCCCTGGGCCTGGTTAAAGATCGACCCCTGACTTAACTGGTTATGTTATCTATAGATTCCAGACATTGTATGGAAAAGCATTGTGAAAATCCCTGTCCTGTTCTGTTCTGTTCTGATTACCAGTGCATGCAGCCCCCAGTCACGTACCCCCTGCTTGCTCAATCAATCACAACCCTCTCACGCGTTGTGAGCCCTTAAAAGGGACAGGAATTGCTCACTCAGGGAGCTTGGTTTTTGGATACGTGAATCTTGCCGAAGCTCCCGGCCGAATAAAGCCCTTCCTTCTTTAACTCAGTGTCTGAGGCATTTTGTCTGTGGCTTGTCCTGCTACATTACCTATGGAAGCAAACCTTCCATTCCCCTCAGATCAGGAAGGAAGGAAGGAAGAAAGGAAGGAAGGAAGGAAAGAAGGAAAGGAAACAGCTTAAAATCTGAGAGGGGAATCCTAAAATCAAAACAGGGCAATTAATCCACCCAGTTTTCAGGCAAGTAATATCCCTGAGTAAGATAATTTTTTTGCAAGGTTTAACTTGAAATGCAACAACAGCAAACAATAAATAGCAACACAAAATAAATCAAGAATTTTTAAAATTATTTAACATAGAGAAATAGAATATAACACTAAAAAGATGAAGAGGGAACATACCATATTTAAGACAAATAAACAACCAATACTGACTAATTTTAGAAAATAAATCATAGAGGGCCTCAGCTTTTTACCCTTAAAAAATACGCGGACACTATGACACACAAATGTAAACAAAAGATAAAAATACCGTACACTGAGACGAAAAGAGTCGAGCTTTACAGGAGGTAGATATAAACACGTAACAAAAGCATACTAAAAGAAAACATAAAATAAAATATAAATGTTAATATACCTAGGCAGGGAAAAGGTGTCCATGCACATTCAAGAGCAGCTCCTTTGGGGAGAAAAGTGAAATAAACTTCTAGATACACAAGAGAAAAAAGAAAATATAAAAAACATAAAATTAGAAATGATAGAATCATACATGACTTTAGAAGATGGTATATAAAGTATGTGAAATTATAGTTGAAAGTTTATTTGAAATAACAAATAAATTGGCCGTGAAGAGAAAGCAAAATGTGCACTCTTAACAGGAGACAAAATTTCAAAAAATAAGCAAAAAGAGCAATTCATTGTATGAAGTTTGCAAGTCACAAAAAATATATAACAGTGAGGACTATCTATGCCTCAAACATGACTTCAGACCTCAAATAACTCAAATTCTGGTAGAAGCAATAAAAACTGGAATTAAATATTTAGAAAACAACGAGACAATATATAAGTAAGAGCTGAATGGTATGTAAGGTTATAATGTAAGCCCAGTGTGGAGATTGGAAGATTACTGACATTTGCAGAAAAGAAAAAAAAGGTCATTGCCATTCATCAGTTCCAATCATAATCAGCTATTCAAAACAAGAACTCAAATCCTGGGCTGGGTATACCACTTCTCTGGGACACAATGGATTTGTGGTTTTAGCATTTTTTATTGCCCATTTGTTTTGTTGTTTCTTATATTATAATATAGACAGATAAATAAAATGTGATATACAAACACACACACACAAACATACACTTATACACACAATGGAATATTATTAATCAGCTTTATAAAGAAAATTCAGACATACACTACAACATTAATGAACCTTGAGGACATTAGGCTAAATGAAATAAGTCAGTCACAAAAAGACAAATACACTATAATTCCACTTATCTGAGGTATCTAGAGTAGTCAAATTCATAGTGACAGAGAGTAGAATGGTGGTTGGCCAGGGCTGAGGGAAGAGGAAGTTGTTGTTTAATAGGCAGAGAGTTTCCGTTTTGCACGATGAAAGAGTTTCAGTGATTGGTTGGGCAACAATATGGATGTATTTCATGCCACAGAACTGTACATTTAACAATAGTCAAAATGGTAAATTTTATGTTGTGTGTATTTTACTACAATGATACATATTTTAAAAGGAATCAACAGGCCAAAAACTTCAGTAACATTATCAATTGACAACCTCTCCAAACAATGTGTGGAAAAATAAGGCCACTTGCCTGGCCCCCATTCTACAGTCTCTTGGGTCCTGGCATTTTTCTGTCACTCTCTCACATCTGCATTTTAAGCCACCACTACCTAGCTCTATCACTTCACAGTTGATCGTTTTGCATTTCTGGTAAGAGAGTCCTATTGTCTCCAGTCAACTGGGGGCATGTTTTATCATCACATGCCTCCTATTCCTGTTTCCCCAAACTTTGATAGTCTTAGGTAATTCTATCCTTAGAGAATGGATTACCCCACAAATTACTGTCACCATGTCCCCCAGCATATCTGAGGTTATATCACAATTTTACCCTCTGGATTAGATCCCTAGAATCTTGATCCTTGTCTAGAGTTTGACTCGATTTTTTATGCACCTACCTAATACCTGTGGTTTTGCTTCTCATAAACTCAAGGCGTTTGATGAAATCATAATGGCTTTAGCTTCTCTCAATACTAGCTCGGTTTATGGTCTGCCTAAGAGGACAATGCATTTTAACAGCTTCCAAGAGTCTGCAATCAAGAACACCTAGAATTTGAGTAAATGGGAACCAAAGAAAGGGTTATCTGTTGTATGGCAAAGAAAAAAAGGAGAGATGAATTTTTATCAAGTTTTTAATGTGAAATAATGTTGAATATGTAACGTCTAGTGAGATTACATTTTGTACTCTAATAGCCACTACAATTTTACCCAGAGGTTCAATTCATCCATAAGTTATTAGTGCAGACAGAGGTGAATTAATTTAAATTAGGGAAAATAGGCCTCCCTAGCTTCCTACATCATTAAGTCAAATCTGTCATTTATTTTTAAGATAAAGCTTTAATCTAAGCAATTTTCTTTTAAAGTTTTATCAAATAAAAGTACCAGCAGTTGAGAACAGAATAGTTACTACCTGGGCCATCCTTGCAAATTCCTTAGGATGACCACCTGAAGACAAGTGAGAACAGAAAGTCCTCAGGTTAGGGGGATGTGTAACAGCAGGTGGCCCTCCTTGCCCATTCCTGAGGGCAAGGAATGCTGAGACTCAGCAGGGAGGGGAAGAGAGAAAAGAGGACAGGTTTGAAATGAAGACCACATGAAAATAATTAATCAGATGGGCAGCTGTGTCACAGCCGGGAACCAGAAAGTGCATAGGAAATTGAAACTCTAAAATAATAAAAAATAATTACTTAAGAAAAAATCAACTAAGGTGAAATTGAGACCTCTATTGTTAACAAAGCCCAGGAACTAAGAGAAGCTTCCAGTGCTGACTATAAAAATTGTGGGAACTGGATCAATGAAGAAAGGCCCTTTTGAGGCAGTTATCTGAGGTTTCTCTCTTAACCCAAAACAGACTTCCTTCTGCTCCTCAGATGTTGCTCAAGATCTGATCAGATGATATTTCTGGATCAGTAGTAGGGCCACACAATGATATTTCTCATTTGCCAAAGCCATTTGGAGGTGTAGTCTAATGGTCTTTTTTGTTTCTGTATGGAAAACACAGAAGCTAGGAGGCAAAGTTTCCTTGTGGGAATAAATTATAAGAGTTTCTCATGTGATTGAGCTTTTGAAAAACTAAGAACAGCAAGAAGGTAACATTGTATTTAACATTATGACTCTGAAATCATACTGCTTGTGTACATATTCTAGCTCTATCCCTTCCTGGTTGTGTGACTTCTACCATTGTCTCATTCTCTGGTCTTCAGTCTTCCCCACTATAAAATGGGGATGATAATTATAGTATCCACATTAAAAGATTATTATGAGATTAAAATGAATGAATACACGTGAAACACTGAAAATAGTACCTGGTAGACAATAAGCACTAAGCAAGTGTTTAGTATTAGAAGAAATTGTGAAAAGACAATTAGAATCTAAGGGTAAAAAAGAGACAGGAAGGAAGGAAGAAAATAAGAAAGGAAAAGAGAAAGAAGGAAATAAACAAATAAATTATCATTTTTGGGGGTGTTCCAGTGATTAATTTTACATATCATAATAATAAGAATGCACTAAACCAACATAAAAATACAATTAAAATAGGAGTATAGAAGAGAGATAATAGTTGTTTCTCATTTTTCATAATATAAACAAATACTTAACAAATAGTTAAATTAGTAAACAATAAATATTTGGAGGTAATACTAAAAGCAACAGCTAAAATAATTTAAAATATGATGAGTGGAACTTAATGCTAAGAAGGTATTTATTACTTGATATTTTATCAGGTGCATGTCACTTTTATAAACTTTTTTTATGTATATGCATACACATACACACATATACATGTGTCTATACATATATATATAGACACATGTATATGTACTTGAAAAACACAATGTACTTGAAAAACACAAAGGTTTAAACGTGGAATCAGACTAAAATTTGGTTTGCTAATCACAGTGCATAAGGGCATAATGATGTATGAAATTTAAAAATCTATAAACGAGGACAAATGGTTCAAAGTATCATTGAAACACTATCTCCTAAATTGTTGGTAAAAGCAACTAACTGGAAAACAATCTAATTAGCTTGTGTACCAAAGTCATCAATTTCCAATGGAGTGTAAACTAGTTACCCCTGTTTCCTAGCTGCTTGTAGGAGTTTCTATTAAAATGAAAGCTGGTAACTAGTTTGAAATGTTTCTCTATTTCTTGTAAAAAGCAACATGTGGAAGACATTTTCTCACTTCTGTATACTAGACAGAAAGGGTAACCTCACAGCCATGCTGCTGTTCAGAAGTTGCCAACTCCTCATATCTTTGAATGTCTTATCATTATTATTAAATAAATACTTTCTTTTCAGACAATTGTCATTCTCCCTGCCAAAAAGTGAAAGAGAACTAGCAGTGTGACCTTGAGCAGGTTTGAATTCTCTGAGCGACAATTTTCTCACTCATGAGATGAAAGGAGGTTGAATTAAATTCTCAAGGTCCCTTCTATATCTCACTTCAACACTTTCTCAAATTCCACCAAATATAAATATATTTTTCTTCCAGTGGGCATTACTCCTCTTCATGCACTATAGATGATAGTCGTGCCAATGTACACAGAAATAATATAGTCTATTAGCTTTATTCTCTTTCACCTTAATAAAGTTATAGATTGATATCATACTTTGAAGCAAACTACTTCCACATCCTTCAGATAATCTAGTTAAATGCTCTAAGACCCAGTCAATGCATTAGCAGAAACGGTAGTGCCTATTGCCATCCATGTTGAACTCCTAGGTTGAATTTTAAGGAAAGCTGAGGAAAATTTCCCATTTGTGATGGTAGCAGATAGAGCGAAAAGGAAGAGGAACAGGGAAAGCAAAAATAATTTAAATGAAAAAAAGTTGAAAAGAATAACCGGTTTTCTACTTTTTATTAGAAGTCTCTGTTACTCATAATTTTTTAACCTGCAAGACTAAATTGGGATGAATTTATTCATATTACTCAGTTTCATTCAGGAAATACTCTTGTTTATATAACAAATTCTATACTTTTACGTGTGTAATTTTTAATTATATTTTTCTATAAATAATCTTAAATTTTAAATGATTTTGTTGCTAGAATTTGGAAAATAACTTTTAAATAAATTTTTGGAGCATATTTTATTATTGCTTTTTAAGCAACATGTAGCAAGATCTTGTTACTTAGAATACCCACATTTTAGTGAAAATAAAATCACTCAAGTGCTTTGAGGAAACAACATAAGAAATAAATAATGAAACCTTCAAACAAATTGCAGATCAGTGGGTCTGAACCCCTGTTATTAATTTTATAGTAAATGTTTAAAATTATAACTTCATTAAAAATGAAAATGAGATTTTATTCATGTAATTACTCTCTAAGCAAATAAATTAATTCTCCTTTCTGTAATTACATTTCAACAGCTTCCAATAATACTTTTCTCTATAATAATTGACCACAAAGCATTCAATTTTCTTGCAAAGAATACGTTCAGTCTTAACTAATGACCCTAAAATAATTTTTCAAATTTGGAAGAACAAACCTCCTACTCATTTCTCGTGTGCGTACATATCTAAAACGTATCAACTTTTGCATGTTTTATTGGTTTTTATGTTTCAATTTAAGTATTTTAATAGGAGACAAAATAGGAGTTATTATTTTTTAGTGGAAGCTGTACATGCTTAAATTCGAATCTCGGCTCAAGTATTTTATTACTTGTAATATTGTCGTAAGGAAAAGAGAAATAGGAACACCTATTTTAAATATTCAGGTCTCTACCTCCTGATTTTTCTGAGATCAGTGCTGCCCCCATATTGACAAAGAGAGGGAGAAGTAGCATTTGTCAAATATGACATGCACCTTGTAGCCACAGTGGTGCAGGAAGGGTGAGAAAAGCAAGCTTTATCAGTCCTTTCTTGGAAACCGCAATTAGGACTTTGACGTCAGCCATCTATCATTCCTCAATATAAGCAGTCTCTTTTTGCTTCTCAACTCAAATATATAACTCCTATTTTCTTCAGGTTTCCTAACACAATCCACTTTAAAAAATGCATTAGAGAGAACTATACATTTTGCTGAAGACTTCTTTTAAGGAAGATAGTAAAAAAATTTTTTTTCATACTACTCACAGAAAATAAATTAAAAATAGTCAAGAAGTATTTTTGATCTCCAAAGCCCCTTGGGTCATTGTACTTTTCCTATTATGAAATTTTCCTTGAGAATGCAAAAATACATGTTTTTCTATTCTACTCCATCTAGGTTTCATTAAATCAGTAAATATTTAATGCCTGAAAGTACAATAAATAAAATAAAATTATCTCCAAAACTAACAGTGTAAAACTTGTGCAAGAAATTTTTATCTGACACCAGAAAACTCAATTCTCATGAAATGCAAAATGGTAACTATATGATATATCTAATTTGTAAGACAATATAAGAGTTAAAGATTTTTATTAGTTCATGAAGTCAGTAAGCCTTCTCAAACTCATGGAGTTACATTCACTCTGTTATGACCTCAATAAAATCAAATGCTTAGAAACAACAGATTTGGAGCCAAGAGGCTTTCTCAGGACCTGGCTCTTCTATTCTTCAAAGATGTGATAATGAAAAATTATTTAACCTGAGTCTCCATTTTCCCATTTATATAATAGTGGGGATCTTACAAGGTGGAAGTCAATTTTGGATGAGGTCCTATATGCTAAAATGTAATCCTGTGTTTATATTTAACATAATTACAGTCATAATAGTTATTTTTTAATTATAACATAGCAATTGAGCCATAAACTAGGTTCTATTTTGAAATGCATTTTGAATAAAGTATGCATATGCTGTGTGTGATTGACATACACAGTGGGTTGGGCTGGGGAGCAAATTACAGTCCTCAGGCCAAATCTGTCTGCCTCCTGTTTTGGAAATAAAGTTTTATTGGAAAACAGGCACACCCATTTGTTTGCATATGATGTATGACTGTGTTCAAACTACAGTGGTAGAGTTTGAATAGTTGCAACATAAATCATATGGCCTTCAAAAACCTAAAATATTAAGATTAGGATTAACTGTTACCAAATAAAAATATTTTTCTCAAAAAGCAAGTTGAAGTTATTTCTTTTCCTAATTCTTTTACATTGATATCACGGTAATCAGGTCAAGTGGAACCATGGATAAAAACTGAGAAACTGGAATCTTTCAGCAAGTGGCAGATAATATAGCATAGTGTTTCACAAAATTTGTCCAGCCTAACACCAGTATCAGAATCAACAGGAATGCTTGTTCAAAAAAATTCAAATATTTTATTTCAGGACATTTACTAAGCAGAAGTCAAGGGATGTCTACCATCTACAACCTTGATACTAAATAGTATGATCAATAGACCAGCAGCATCTACATCACTTATAACTGATTACAAATGCAGCATCTCTAGCTCCACACCAAACCTACTGAATCAGACCCTGCATTTTAAAGAGCCCCTTAATATGCATGTTAAGTTTTGAAAGTCTATAATTTGGAACGTTTAAATATTTAGACTTGAAATCTACCTGGAGCTGTCAGGAAAAGTAAAAGCACATGAGAAATCTTAGTGAAAAATTACCCACAGCAGCTACAAAAATTAAGGGTCATGCAATATAAGATGAGAATCCTGACTGGCAAGTCTTAACTAAGATCCCTACAGAGACATATGTGGAATATGAATTGCAACTGGAACACTATTTCTGTAGATTGCAACAGACGTGTGCACGGAATAATGGTGGCTAGCACTGGTGTTCAAGAAAGAATTCAGGGAAGCTTTAACTTGGGCAAGTCTTATTCAGAGAAGAGCTGTAATTACAGATGCAAAAAAGTTAAAAATTATTAAGGTATTAAAAGTGTCTTTAAAATCAATATACATCAAAACAAGAAAATAGAAAACACCTTACCTCCTACACAGCCAAACCTAGCAATCACTGTTCTTTGGAATTGCATCTATAATACAGCATTAAACTAAATTCTTAAATTAAATTTCTAAAGAAGTTTTATATTGAAATCACTTTCTTTGCTCAAAAAATTTTGAAACTTTCTGCTCTCTACCTCAATTGATTTTTGGAAAATGGTCTTATTTACTGTATCAATGTATTCAGTTTATTTAAAATCAAGGCATTCAATATTGTAGTATTTTTATGAGGTTTTATTTAAAGACCCTCTTTTGATACAGGAATATCCTTGCCCAGATATTTTTGATCCTTACTATGGAATGAATAACTTTACATATAATTCCAAAATTATTAAGTAGTTTGCAAGTAATAGTTACATACATTCACACAGCTAAAATAATTACACTATGTCTGCCATCGTGTAGATTTTGCTTAAAATAAAAATAAAGTCTGGTAGGCTACATTTAATATGCAATTAGTTTCATAAATTAGTTGTATAAAATGGTAGAGAATAAAATTAGTTTCACTCCTAAATTAACAAGATTTCCTGATTATTTTAACTATTGATTTTCAATTTAATTATAGTTTACCTAGATTTAAGTAAATTAAAATTAAGACCAATTAGTACTTCCAATTCTGGCATTGTGGATAAATATTACTTTCTTGCCAAGAGCACTGAAAAGAGAAATGATTTGAAGTTATATATTTTTAAATGTTACTTTTACATCTAATTAAAACCATTTAATTACTACTGGAAATTAATGTAATTCATTAATATAACTTTAACAGTTTACTGGTTATTTAGTTTTCCCTAGCAGGTTCTATTTAAATCTTAAACTTTATATTTAAGTCAAGTAACTTGATTGTAACTTTGGCAGAAAAAAACTCAATTTTTTCAATGGCAAAGTACTATAGTTGTGTAAACTATATCTAAGATAGAAAAAAATTCCAATCAAAATCTTATGCAGAATCCCAATAAAAAGACCTGAGTAAGGCAGTGCTGCCCTTTTCAAGGGTGTGTGTTGGGGAATACTACTATATACAAATCATTAACAATGTCCTCACCCAAAGCCAAGGGCTATGCCTAAAATATCTCCAAGAATAAAATGAGCCCACTAGAGTCAATGGTCACTAAGATATCGTCTGTTAGCTTCTATACATCTCCTTACCCCTAGCAGCGTAAGATTGTTCTTTTACAGGAAAGAAAAAAATGAATATTTTGCTTGGAATAGGGAGCACGTCTATATTTAGATTTCATGATTTACTGAAAAGAAGCAACATGAATTTCAACCTTTTTTTTTCTTTGTTTTGAGACAGGGGCTAGTTTTGTTGTTCAGGCTGGAGTGCAGTGGCGTGAGCAATGCTCACTGTAGTCTCTACCTCCTGTGTTCAAGTGATCCTCTGGCCTCAGTCTCACTAGTAGCTGGGACTACAGGTACACACTACCATCACTGTTACTATTATTCTTTTTTTTTTTTTAGTAGAGACAAGGTGTTGCTATGATGCCAAGGCTGGTATCAAACTCCAGACCTCAACTGATCCTCTCACCTTGACCTTCCAAAAGTTCTAGGATTACAGGCATGAGCTCCTCGTTGAATTTCAACTTTTTATTTATGAAGTATAAATGTAAATTTAATTTCTCATTGGAGGAGGAAAATTATAGGGTGGGAAAGAAGAATTGTAAATAAAAACAAAAACAAAACCTATTCTACATACTTATCTGTGACAATTGCCCTGGTTGGATCTACATGAAGAGAGGATCTTGACTACTCACCTGATTATTCTGCACAAAGATGAGCACAGTAATACTCTTGAGAACTGGGCTTGTGCACAGAGGCCTATTTATTAGAATGCACGATTGAAATAGAAAATGCAAGTGGTAGGATGACATATGAAGTTGTAATGTAGTTTTCTGGGATTGCAAATTCTTAGCATAATTGGTCACTTTCTCATTCAAATTGGCACTCAGCCTTTTTGCCCCATGAGCAGAGAAGTCACTCATGAATACAATGGGGAAAAAAAAGAGTTAACTCTGGAATTTCAATATCCAAGAGCTAGGTCCTGAAACAAAGAGTAGGATACGAAGAATAATGTGTTAACCAGATTCCAATCCCCTTGCCTTCATAAAGTGGAACAATAAAATTATCTAATTTGGGACATGGTAAATAGTATTTTACATAGAAAGTATTAGTTATGTTTGATTATGGATAGTTTTGGTAGACCCAGAATATAGGGGATTGTACTTTCACGTGTATGTTTGGGTGATGGGGGTAGTTAGACCAGAAGAAGTTCCATATGAAGTGTTCAGGGGATGGTCTCACGGATCCAGGGGATCTTGGGGTGAGTGATGAGAAGAGTAAATAAACTTCTGAGCTGATCTTAGAGATGAGCCAAAGAAGGAAAGTCAAGAGGTATTCTTTATTGTCACTGCTGGAGCAAGAGGACTCTACACTGTAGGATGCTGCTCAGATGCCTACCTCCAGTCTTGATTGGATTGCAAGCAACCATTTCAATTGATATCAATGCAGAGATATGAGCAACTTAGGGCAAAAATGGATGAGTTACAGCACAGAAGGAATTAGTATGTATCGATACTGATAAAGATGGTCTACCCCATACAGTGACAGCAGGTATGTCTCTACTGAACCCAGATGCCACTGAAAAAAAATGAGGGAAGAAAGAATCTCAAAATGGAATTAAATCAAAGATGATAAGACTGAGGAAAATTACCTAAATGATTAAGTGACAAGACCACGCTTTCTGCATAAATGGAAATGAACCTCGAAATAGAAATTAATCCCAGTTATAGAAAAAATTAGAAAGGTTACATCTGAGTTTATGGTAGAAATAATTTGATTTATTAGTTTTACATGGTTTAGACTTATAATATGCTTCTTCATTCTTCAGCCAGAGAGACATTCCAAAACTCCTGACCTGGGACTTGTTGAATGCAAGAAATAGAAATAATGACCGTAACAGAATGAGCTTTGAATGAACCCATTTTGTTCACCCAATTGTTGCTGGGCATCCACGTTATGTTTTGTGCAAAGGAGGCATCTGAGATCTGGATCAGGTCTCAGCCTGGGTCTTGTGAGTTAGAAAACACTTTTTCCAAGGGCACCACCCACCTGCACTGGCTCCGGAGTTTAGGTCCTCAAGACCTTTCTTCTTGACCCTGGAGAAGGTGACATTCTCAAGTAAGGAAGCTCACTGCCTTGGTCAGATACAAATTTGAGTGAAGAGGTCTGTGTGGGTCAATTTGCAAATCCTGTCTTTCAGATTTATTTTGTTGTTTTTTGTTTTTTGCTTAACAAAAATGAACCTAGCACATCATTCTTTATATTTTTCTGCCAAGAATGTCTTAATTGTCTTTATTGTTGTCTTATAAATATTTCCCCAATCCATGACCCCCACTTCATCTACCCAGCATGAAGCAACTGCATTCCAAGGCATTATAATACAGAAGAAATGCAAGGATATGCTCACATCAAACGTATAATATGTCAGTACTAAGCAAGACAACAACTTTATAAGATATGCTTTGTTAAAAGGAAAACAAGATTTTCTAAATTTCTTTATCTCTTCCAACTAATATATCCAAGGAACTTATCTAGTGATACATATAGAATGTAATAAAAGTGGTCACTGACAAAGAAGAGGAAGAGAAGAACATCCGCCCTTACAGACCTAAAGAGAAAAAGAGAAAAAGAAATGAATCAAGAATATCAGAAGCCAAGGTTCTTAACAACAAAAGACCATCTTTTTTAGGGTACAGGAAAACTTGCTATAAAATAGAGACCTCAAAATAAAATATGCATGCGTTTTTCATTTATATAATAACTATTTAAATATGAGACACCCAGTGCTGCTGGGGCAGCCCTTCTGTTCTCAAAACATGACTTCCCATCTTTGGATCCAATATAACTACCCCAGATGTCATCAATTCTCAGCTAGTGGAATGGAGAGTAAAGTTAATGGAAGGTAGCAAATTCTTTTTAAAAAACATAAGACAAAAGTTTCACAAATCATTATTACTCACATCTCATTAGCCAGAATATATTTACCTAGCCACACATAGCAGCAAAGGAGGCTGAAAAGTGTTTTTAGTTTGTTGCTATATGTCAAACTAAATTCCATTATTTTTTAAAGGTGAGTATACACTTTGTGAGACAAATAGCAATCTCTCTCGCTCTCGCTCTCTCGCTCTCTCTGTGTGTGTTTCTCTCTCTCTCTATGTGTGTGTGTGTGTGTGTGTGTGTCACAATACAAATGAAATTTCCAACATCTGTGGATATTTTAATGGGGTGGGCAACTAGTCCTGTTTGCGAGGAACTTTTCCACTTTAAAAACTGAAAGTCACCCACCCTGGGAACCCTCTTAGTCCCTGGCAAACTGGGGCATTTGAACATCCTATTAATATTATTAATAATTTCTTTAAAAGAAATTTAATACTATAAACTACTCCAGGCTCATTCTTCCCTATAAATTTTATAACCTTTTAGTGTTTATTTGGAATGTATTTTAGGGTGCTTATAGTCCAACAATTATTTCAACATGGAAATAAAAATCGCTGATGCAATTTATTGAAAGATTGAAAAGGAGAAAGAAATACCAAGAATAGTCTCCAAGAGGACTTATTAAACAGACACCAGAGGATGTTACTAAGAAGTTCATTAAATTTAAATGTTTCCCAAGCAAATTTTTAGTTTACTTATCAATTATTTATCTCAGTTGAAACCATAAAAGATAATGACAAATGTTGATTTAAGGATAGAGATACTTATGCCATCACTTCAGTGAGTAGAGTCATGGAAACCCAAATCCCCATTGTCAATTAGTGTCTTAATTTTGAATTATCTACTGTGCAGTTATCTCCTATGAAAAGTTCAGTTGACATACTCAGCAGTCCAATGGAGGAAACCCAAAGGAATCATTATTCATTTATTCCTTTTGGAAGTCAGATCTCCAAAATGCTATGTAGCTGAGAAACCTTACTTGAGTTATCTAAATAAATGCCTTTACATAATTACAGTTTCACATTATGAAGCTATATTTGTCAAGAGGCCACAAAAGAAAAGCTTTCAAGGGTGGCCATGCTACTCAGCTGCCAATGGACTCTTCTGCCTATTTGACAAATGGCTCTCCAGGTGATAAGGTTTGGCTGTGTCCCCACCCAAATCTCATGTTGAAATGTAGTTCCCATAATCCCCATGTGTTGTGCGGGGGACTCAGTGAGAGGTAATTGCATTATGGGGGCGGTTACCTCTATGCTGTTCTCATGATAGTGAGTGACTTCTCCTAAGATCTGATGGTTTTATAAGGGGCTTTCCCACATCCTTCATTCTGCACTTCTTGCTGCTGCCATGAGAAGGAGGACGTGCCTGCTTCTCCTTCGGCCATAATTGTAAGTTTCCTGAGGCCTCCGATGCCATATGAACTGTGAGTAAATTAAACTTTTTCCCTTATAAATTACCCAGTCTTGGGCATGAGAATGAACTAAAACACCAGAGTTTCATCAGGTACCCTTGTCTTTTTTCACTCTATATTGTATTCTTGATTTTCTCATTACTGTTGTGTTTTTAACTTCCCCTCTTCTCTTAACACGTATTGCTGATTCCAAATTATTATCTCACATCTCAGACTTTTCCTAGGATCTAAGTTTATGTATCCACTTATCTAACTGCTTGATGAAAATATATTCCTGAACATATCTCAAAATTCAGTGTGTCGTCACTGCTGCTTCTCCTCTATGTCTCCTTTTGGTTGATGCAAGTTTGTTTTTCACTCATTTTTCCCACTTCCACACTGTTGATAACATTTTAATTCCCACTGACCCTGAATATCTCTGTCATTCTTTCTCTTCATTCACAACCAATGGCTGAGTTCAGACTCCTTCCATCTACTGATTTGATCAGCAGTTTTACTCAAGTATGCAGAATAGTTACCTGGAAAGCTTATTAAACATGCAGATTCCTGAGCCAGTTGCTACAAATCCTGAAGCAGTATGTTGAGGGGAGACAAGTAAGCTGCCTCTAAGAAGAGGGCTGAGCTGAGCTGAGCCTGACTCAGCAGACTCCCCTGAGACAAGACTCCTTTGTGTTCCATTTTCCCTCCATGGAAGGGCACCAGTTGAGGGTCAGGTACATCAGCACAGACGTGGACATCCAGAACAAAATCTGCAGTTTTATAGACCAAGGGACTAGGGGGTAGGAGGAAACGACTAGGGGTGTCAAAGTGCTGAGTATTAAGTCAGAGCAGCCTCTGCTGAAGAGGATGGCCTCTACTGAGGATGGCCTCTGCTGAAGACTCCCAATACAGAGGACTCCAAATGGCGGCACCTAGGCCATGAACCCAACTATGTTTAAGAGCATGGTTGTCCAGGAGGTCTGAACCTTTGACAGCAACTCCCTTCAGAGCCTACAAGGCATTGGCTGTGCACCATGTCTGGTGGGGAAGAACAGCATTTCCCTGTGTGACTTGTTAGGTAAAGACTTTTTTATTGCTTATAGTCAAGTCTAAAAACATCGCACATACATTTCTGGCAAGGAGTCAGACTTCTCTCTGACTTCGTAGCAACAGATGTTTGTGATGCAGGCCTCTGGGGATCCATACTTTGAGTAATTTTGGCCAATTTGAATATAAATTTTTGGATATATAATATTTGGAATAGATATCTGGCTTTCCTGATTTCAATTTCAGCGTTTATCCAAACCACCCTTCATACATTGCCAGAATGAAATTATTTTAAAAATTCAATTTCAAATAAGCCTCTGATTAACTTAAGACTTTTCAGAAATAATTGTCATTTTTGTAAAAACATCTAACCTACTTACCTAGCACTTGTTTCAGTTACCACCTGCAAAACATTCTCTTATTTTTCTGAATCTTCCTTCCTCCCCCTTTAACAGCTTACAATACTAAACTGTTGGTTTTTATAGCAAGATCTTGTATATACTTTTTCTTTATCTCACCCCCTAACCTGGTATAAAAATGGATATCAAGAAAAGTTTGTCAAATTAATTGAATCCAATTTTTTTATGAAACACCTTTAAAAACACTATTTGGTTATTTAAAAGTTGATACAATAACTTCCTCAGTTTGGACCTACCAAAATACTTACGGACCCTAAATAGCTTTGATTTGTATTTTATTTTATTAGCTAATGAGACTGACATAGCTAATGGTGCTTTTCTTTTCTTTTTAGCTGTCAAAATTCAGGAACTAAACTTTGTGTTGAATTGCACTAAAAACTTAAACATACACATACACACACTCACGCACACACGCAGAGACATATTTCTCTCCAATTATTTGATTCAGTCTTTTAAAAAGCAAATTATTTATTTATTTAAATTACGATTACCCAAAACTCCAAATAGTTTTGAAAATTAAGTATAGCTTTTCCTGGGAATAATGTAGTGAGAGTGTGGGATTTTGAATTATAATAGATACTATATATGCTTTACAACCACAGCAGACATAATGGTCCTTAACATATCTTAGTGGTATATGACTCTTGGTTTTAAACCCTGAGTGAGGCTATTTAGTCTTCCCAATTTAATAATTCAAAATATATTTGAATATAAAACGTAGGATATAAGAAATTACTCGAGTTCTAAATTTACTAGGATGCAGTATAATATATTAAATATTATTATAACTCTGTACTATAATCAGAACATTAAAATTAAAATTAAAAAAATATCACTTCCAGTTGATATTTTTGTTCTGTCACAGAAAACTGGGTGTGTGTGTGTGTGTGTGTGTGTGTGTGTATAAATAATATTTATTTTATTTAAAAAAATAATTTTTCTTGATTATTTTACCAGGTGCATTTCTCATTGTGACACTTATTAATATTTTCATACCAAGACTTTTTATACTACAGTCTTATAAGTAAACTGCTGCATATGTCCAGAACTTTATTTACAAAAGATTTTCCACAATCATGTTTTTATAGTTTAGCAAAAAGATAAGGTTTATTTTTGTCTTAGACCCCACACTCAAGCCATCAGAAAATTCTATAAGATCCCTTCTAAATAGATTCAGAATCTGACCTTGGCTCAACCACCTCCTTCTCCTGTTACGCTGGCCCAAGCCATCCATGCCTTCTTTCTGTATTATTGCAATGGCTTACTAACTGGTCCGTATTTGCCTGTCCTGATCCTCTTCTACTCCTAATTCCCAACACAGAAGCCAGAGTGAACCTTTTAAAGCAGGAGTTAGAACATGTTACTCTTCAACCAAAAATTCTCCAACAGCTTCTCATATTACTGAAAAAATAAAAGTAAAAATAGCAGTAGTTCTTACAGTGGCCTAGAAGGCCTAGCATAGCATGCCCTGGACCAATACTTCATCAATCTCTGCTCCTAAGACTCTGACCCTGGCTCACTGTGCTCAAGCACAACTGCCTCTCGGATGTTCTTTGGAACATGAACACTCCACATACCTCTTTTATCAGGGTCTTTACACTCACTGTTTTCTCTCTCTAGAATTCTCTTCCCACAACTATCTGTGTAGCTTATCCTCATTCCCTTGGGATCTTTCCTTAAATGTCACCCAAAAGAGGCATTACTAGACCACTTTATGTAAAATATTACAATCCTTTTTCCTGCAACCTTCACCTTTCCCTGCTTTATATCTATTTTCCCCATAGCATTTATTAAACATATACACATACAAATATATACACCATATACAGTGATAGTATGTACATATAGTTGTGTATGGTATTTTTAAATTTATGATTGTTTGTTGACAGTTTTTTTCTACTAAAATGTAAGTTCTATGAAGGCAAGAGGTTTTTAATGTTTTATTCATTTTCATATCCTAGTGCCTAGAATAGAATCTGGCATATAGTAAATGCTCAATGTGCATTGTATGTTGGCAGGGGGAGACCAGTAAGCTGGCTGTCAAGGGCTGAGCTGAGCCTGACTAAATATTTGTAGAAGAGTTGAGTAATTAAAACAATCAGAAAGTACATCATAGAGTTATCAGAGATCCTGTAGAGACTTTGAGAAATTAGATGTAATTTTGCTTTCATGTATTCTCTTTTCTCTCATTCATCAGGAAAGACTCTGGAGTAGATAATATAGAAAGATAGCAATGCCTTCATGTAATATAGAATAATCTCTAACATCTTTTAGCATAAATTCCGCAATCAATTTTTGGGATGTCATTGAGAGATCACTAGTTCCTTTTATTTCTCAACATCTGAAGTCATTGTAGAAGAGAATAAAGATTATTCTTACAGTAAATAGAAAAATCAGAATTAAGTTAACTTAATAGAGTTCAATTTTTGAAGGTATATTTTTAGCTGTACCTGAAAGTTTGAATTCACTTAAAGACTGTTATTTATGTTTCTACTTGAACGACTTGGTACCAGCCAGAAGTTATCAATGATCCATACCAGTGTTTTTCAAAGGAGTATCAATGAAGGAGAAATGGCCCTGAGCCTCAATCCAAATGCTTGAATTAAGTTCTTCAACCACAGTGGCCACTGTTATCTGTTGAACAAGGTTAAGAGATGACTTCAAAATAAAAAAACACTTACACACAAAATGTGTAAACGATATTGATTAGTATTTTTAGTTTAAGAAATAATTATGAATGGAGTAGAAAAGTATAATATTCCAAAGTTGTTTTCTATTTTATCTCTTACTCTAAGCCAAGAATAGTAAATACACTGAGCCTGTATACTAATTAAGGGCATAGCCATGTCTCTGGGAGCAGTTCACAAAATAGGAGGCTTAATATTTAGTATGGGGGTAATATTTCAATATATGAACTTGATCTGCATTTTCAAAACATTAAGTAACAGTAAATTTGATATTTTTCTTTACAATGTCCTAGAGCTGTTTTTTAGGCTGCATTGGTGATTGATAGTTAATATAAGGACATTAATTGATGAAAACATTATAATTTCCAATATAACACAGTTCATGTTTATGTTTCCAACAAATTATATTTCAAGCCACTTTTACAAAATAAATATGTGGCTACTATTATATGATAAATGTTTTTTCCACACAAAAATTATAAGTATATTTTTGTTCACATTCTACAATTAAGTCAATGTATATGATAATACTGCCACAAGACTAAAGAAATTCAAGTAAACAGGATCATGACAAGAACATGTAATAAATTACAATTTATTTGATCTTATTAGAAAAAAATGAGCTATAAAATAAAGATTTTAATTGCATCTAGAAAGTACTTTATAAAAGCATGCATTTTGTAAAGCATATATTTATGCATTTGTTAATAAAACTTCCAGTTTAAGACAATGATGAAAAATATTCAATTCAGAATTAGAGAACAAAATTTTTCTTTTAGCAAACAGAAACTAGCAATTTTCCAAGTAGAATACTAGTTTGAGTCTCAATATCATCATAAACTGAAAATTTGTTTCTTAAATGCTGAACGTCAATAAGAATATTCTGTTGAATTCTACGAATTGTCTGAGGACAAGTAGGAAATTATGGATACAAAGTTAGACACTTTTAATCAAACTGACCAACATAAGATAAATTGTTACTCAGATTCTCATGTTGAAATTTCTTGGTCTATTTCTCTCCTTAAATCTCTCTGCAGCACCAATCTGACTACAATATTCTTCAAAGGCTAAAACAACAGTGCAAAGTGTAGCATTACTTCTGCTTTTGCCTCTTTGGGCTAACAAAATGGCAAGGTAAAGATTCGATGGAAGAAGGCAGAATCAGGGATTGTTTTAATGGCCTTTTGAATTATTGGGTAGAAAGAGTCTGGTTAGAGGTAATTGTATTATTGTACTTTGAGGTTGGTTTATAAATTTAAATTTAGACTCATATAATATTAGAACTAGATGTAATCTTTGGGTAATAGATCTGTTTGGAAACCTGATAAAACTACTGACATTTTCATGGTCATATGGATAAGCGCATCCATGTACAAAATTTTAGGTTATTCAGAGACTCCAAGAAACACAATCACAGCCCATAGCATGCGCTCATTGACACCTCGTGTTATCAAATAGGACAACAGGTTCCATTTATTGATTGTAGTAACACATATTTTATGCCTACATTGAGTAAGATACTGTATTATTCAAGAAGATGAAGACAGAGACAAAAACAAAAGTGACAAAAATCTCACATTCAAAAATCTCAGTCTTTAAAGGGAGATATACAATTAAACATTATTTATGGTGTAATGATGGAGAATAAAAATAAAATGACCATCTAAAGGAATAGTTTACACACACACACACACACACACACACACACACAAACAAACTATGAGAACAGAGATGTAAGATCAGTTCAATCTACCTATAATAAGATTTTTCTGAATGGGTCAGGGGAGACTCCACAGACAAAGTGGCTTTTAAATTGAGTCTTGAAGGATGAAAAACAATTTAGCAAGATAAATGACAGAGGGGCATTATACTGAGAAGGAACAGCAAGTGGCGAGGTGTAAAAGGAGTGGCACATTATTCTAGTGATTCCATGTGAGCTGATAGCTTACTGCATATGGGGACTGATAGACTGGAGTATAAATGGGCTGGCAGAGACCAGGTCATGGAGGGGCTTGCTGGCTTAGGTGAGAGGTCTACATGTATCTCATAGCTAATAGCATGTCCTTGAAGCATTTGAATTGCTGAGTGAGATTTGCTCTATGGAAAAAATTGTCCTGGCAGAGGTGTGAAAAACAGCAGTAGGACTGGGAGGAAGCACAGTTTGTGGTCCAAAAGAAGGTAGAGAGACAGCAGATTAAAGCCAGTGAAAGCAGCTGTCAACCTGTAATCATGTAGATATTAAAGATCCTTACAGGACTGAGAAATATTTGCTGAAAAGAATTAGTAGTACTTGGTGGGGACCAACTAAATTAAGTAAATTGCTCAAGGCCATATACTTAATTAGTAACCAAGACATATCTAGAATTAAGTTTCTTGACTCTCTGCCTATTTCTCTCTCTAGTACTCTATATCAATTTTTATTGTTTGATTAATTCAAATAAACATTTCAAATTAGGGATTTTAAATGGCCTATTAATGTTGATGACCTTCCCTCAAAACTTTCTATTTTTCTTTTAAACAAGCAAATTTGGGCTAAGCACATTGCAATTGGTTTCCTTTTAACAAAAGTTTCAAGGTAGTTAAAGTAAATCACTATTTTTCCCCTTACAAATAAATACAGTTCACTAATGTCAAGGTTAAATTTTGCCTTTGATTACCAGCTGAGATGCGGCTAAACAAAGGTAAAGGGGTTGATTTGTTGACAAGTGTATGTGTGTGTGTGTGTATTAGAATTTTGTCAATTAATTTTGTAAGAAAATAAATTTATCTGTGAATATAATGTCCTCAGTTTATGCCTTGTATGTAAAAAACAGGTTATTGTTCCCATATTTCATCATAGACAGAACTTGTATGGTGAATTATTTTGCCTATAGACATCACTGAATGTTGTTTGTATGTGACCTGTCCTTTTTGCTCTGTTATCAGAAGGACTTTGGTTGGGGAAAGGGAATTTTATTGCTTTCATTTGAAAGATCAAAGGAATAGAAGACTATAATGCCTGGTGTTATTACTTTCTTCTGTCTTTTTCTTAAGAACACACAATTAGATTTTATTCTGTTTATTAAGTCAGAATAATTGATTTCACTTTATATGATAAATTGGCATGTCTATTTTTGGTAAGTGTAAACAAGTGAATCACTAAACTTAAATTATTCTGTCGAATGGGGATGGGAATATTTCCAACTTAAGTAGAAACTTGGTATTTTAAAAATGTATGTTATAAAGGAATTAGAAGCCAACATAAAATCAGAACAACATTAATAAATAAGGAAAGCTGGCTTCTTTGATCATTATTGCAAGTTTCACTGTGTGAATATATAATTTTTTCTTATTTACCAAAATAATTATTGTAGATTATTAAGCAGAAAAGTTTTGAAGAGCTCCTACTCTGTTCTGGGTGCTGTGCTAGAAACTGGAGATAAATAGTTAATCAACCTTGTGCCAGTCCTCAAACAGCTCACAGTTGTTGGGAAAGTATAATCAAAGAAACAGACAATTGCAATCGTGACAATTTGATAAGCGACAAAATAAGGGTATTGTGCAGAATCACTTTTTGATGGTTCAAATGATGGAATGGAAATAAAATTGAAATAGCCAAGAGACTAGGCAACAATGGATGATGATTTCTATTCTCTGTTAGAGTCATGAGTAGGATTTAATTGTACTGACATGTTGTTTTTTTGACTCAGGTCTTTTAAAATTCAGTATTTGACTCTCAGAAATCCGCATCTTATGTAAAGAGAACAAACCAGTCTTCACAAAGCAACATAGGCACCAGTGATTAAGGATGGTAAACTGTACAGTTTTAG
Organism: Homo sapiens; assembly: GCF_000001405.40. NCBI lineage: Eukaryota > Metazoa > Chordata > Mammalia > Primates > Hominidae > Homo > Homo sapiens. The sequence goes on along the minus strand of NC_000003.12, from coordinate 162,023,107 downwards.
TTGTGCTGTGTGAATAATTGTTACTTGTTCACTGGAACACAGCTGTAACCTTTTCTTGTAAGCAGGCTGAATGCATCGCCTCATTAGTTATTGCAGTAGCCTCAGTTGTTATCTTCCTGATAGTCATGAATTGAGAGCTACTGAGTAGCTAGCCTTCTCAAAATGCTCTTTGTATGTTTATCAAATTCCCTGAAATGGCAGTGGAGATGTTTTCCTTTTTTATTAAATATCTGTGTACACAGAAAGCCTAATTAAAATATAAATATTGACTGTGTGAGGGATGACATGTTTACTTATTGCTCATTTTATGGTATATGTTATTACTTATTCATCAACTTGAGAATGAAAGGACAGGAAACTTATGAGGACATGTTGGGGAAAACCAGGCTCAGGTGTGTTAGGTCTATCAGGGAACACTTGGTCTGGACACTGAGGCAAAACCTCTGCCAGGATTATCCAGAAAGGATTTTGTTTGATGCTCCTGTGTATTAGATGAAGCTGTGATTTTTTTTTCCTTAAGGAATTGTTTTAATTTCAATCTTGTCCTTTTCCATTAATTAGTCAATTGATCTAAGATATATATGTCAATTGGGTTGCTTTGGCCTCATTTTCTTAATCAATTAATGAGGGAATATTCTTAAAGAACTTTCAAGGCTCTTTCCAACTCTGAGTTTTGAATAATATAAAGATTATCATTAAGAACTAGGACAGCAAAGAGCTGTTGAAAATGGAGACATGAAATTGAGAATAGCTGCAAAGATAAGCTTTGATAACAAGTTTGGCCTAGGGCCAGCCCCTCGTTCAAGGTGATTATTTCATTATTTTTAATAACCCTATAAAATTGATTCTTTCCTCCTTATTGTATTTTTTTAAAATAGATGATATTTTTAAAATACCAGATTAAGATAAATATTGACTTAAGTAAAATTAGTATGGCCAACTTGTTTTTATTATAATTATAGAAGCATCTGCTCTCCTATTTATATTCAATTGAATTTTATACTCTACTAGTAACCATAGATATGTTGTTATTTTAAATGTCTCTTAAAGCTAATGTTTTTACATCACTTAAAGCTCAGACCAGAGGAGAAAAACTGAATCATGCTTATTTTTTTTTTAAAAGAAGAACATTATAGAAGTTTTAAGATTATCATCAACTCCCAGAACTGGTTTGTCTTCATTTTGTAAAACTTCCTTTTACATTCAATTTAATGCATTTAGGAGTAAATTATTCAGGAAGTCGAAAAAGATTCATTACTTAACTACAGGGAAGTCTAAAAGAGTAGTTAGCAGCAGCTGTGTAGATTTGCTGCTCATTTACTCCATATATAGGGCATAATGGATTTCCAGCAATTTCAGTAATACAACATTATCTGTGTTGATTGTAGATATCATCGCAAGATATGCTTTTCAAGAGTGTTGTAAATTGAAACAACTATAAGATGGGTAAGAAGACAGTCTCAATCTAGGAGTAAAGTTTTCTTTAGAAGACCTCAAAATTTAAGTAACAATAAGAGGAGTCTGGGAACCTTCTCCTCAAGAAGGAGGACTGTAGAGGATTTAAAGGACCCAACGACAGGTTTTCTACATGAAATACACAACTTTCACCACGACAAATGGTAAATGTGGAAGCAACCAGATGTTATGCATACTGAATTGACAGCCTGTGTTGATTTTGACTCAGAATTAGCTATGCTTTGTGCAAGGTGGTGAATGTGGGGGAAATGTTTACATGAAAGAGTGGGAAGACTTTTATGTTGCCAAAGGATGAGTAACAATTATGAGATGAAAATCTAGCTTAATATTACAATTTCATCCAGCTCTCAAGAGAGTATGTATCCACGTTTAAAATAACTAAGCACAAGGTGAGTTTTACGGTCTACAATGAATTGAGGTTTAAGATTTAAAATATGGCTGTAATTTACTACAATGTAAATCATATTTGGACCAACAATTACTATAAACAATTTAGAACAAATCATCAAGAGCAGTTTTCTTTCTTGAATGTTTTAGAACTGGAGTTCTATGCAGTTCTAATGTTTTTGTGCCAAGAACAACTGACAACTATTAAGTATTTGCTGAGTACTAAGTTTCACAACTCCGTGAGATAGGTAATATTATTATGCCATCTTTATAGATAAGGACACCAAGAGATTAAAGAAATTGACCAAGTATGCAGTTTTAAGTGGCAGAGTTAAGATTTGAACCCAAGCAGATTTATTCCAGACTATAACATATATCCTCCACCAATAAGGCATTTGGTTTCATTTATTTGACAGGTGCTTAATAACACCTCTAAGTTGAAGGCGTTGTGGCTGGTGATGCAGAGAAACAGATAAATACCACATAGCTCTTGTTTTCAGGCAACTCACAACAACACTGACAACAGCTAAAGAGTGATACCTTACAACTGTGTCTTACTGTAGCAAATGCTGTTGTTGGTCTGGCCCGTATTACCTTAGCCCAGTCCTGAGTTCATCTTCAGCTGCTATCAACCATGGAAATTTGCATTTGTGATACTGCCTGAGACACAGAAGCCCTAATACTGCTTCTACAAGACACAAAATAATAATGACATGAGAGGCAGAAAATATGTCTTCATAGTTCCTGGGCCAAATCTCTTGCACTTCTGATAATTTCATTTTATGTCGATTTTATCCTTCTAAAGAATTATTTAATTCATTGAACATCATAATGTGGCTGAAATCCACATCATCCACATTTTATTCCATAAAACAACCTAAAGTTTTGGAAGGGTCTATTGGAAAGAAACTAAGTATAGCTATGGGGATTTTGCCTTACTTAAATATGTTTCACAGTGGGGAAGAGAGCTAGAAGCAGTAGAATTTCCACTGGAATGAACACACAAACTAGTTTGTCACAGATCCATGACTGTTTGACAGAAGACATGAGACTTCTGGATCAGTTATTCAGCACAGCAAAAGCAATAGCAAGCATATCAGCATATCTCTGATGGTTCCCCATGCCCCAAAGTCCATGAGGCAATACCATGGGCCCAGATGGCTACACAAACAAAGGGTTGAACTGCAGCTGTAAACTTCAAGCTTAAGAAAACTGCCACTTTTATAGCAAGCAGTAAACAGGCCTGTTCTTTGTCCAAAGAGAGACTGAATACTTTGCAGGACAATGCAATTCAATCCTATGAGGCATTATTTCACTTTGCAGAACTGTCAGCTGCATAAACAATTTAGATAAGTGGCCAGGGTGAAAGAATGATCAGGATCTGGGGATTTTGGCATATGTAGCAAGACACGTAGAAGCACAAGAGGCTCATAGCAGACTGCCTCCCAACGATATTTGGGGCACACTATAAAAGAAATGAGGTTTTGTGTGTTAGCCTAGGTGCCTAAGAGGGTACACACAAAATTTTATACCAAAATCATAGAAAGTTTTCAGTAACTACTTGGTGATTTGGATTATCTAAATCTCTTTTTAACTCTAAAATGTGCTTTTAAATGTTTTATGAAATCACAAGCAGAATGTTTCTACTTGAGCCCAAGTTGGGCCTACAGTAATCCATGCAAACATTTCTCAAGAAGCCTCATTTCACACAGGTAATCTCCTGGATAAGGATATTCTTTGTTAAGTGGTGAAAGGGCAGGGTTAGGAGTTCTGCAGCAGCCACTGTGCTCACGCTCTAAGGAAGCAGGCTAATGTTTCTTTTATTGCTGGCTCTCCCTGCTTCTCTATGACCCAAAGAAAGTCAATTAACTTCTACGTGCCTGTACAATGAGGATAACACTACTTGGTCACACACCTCTGAGTGGTGTTGTAAGGAAAAACAAGATAATGCTTATAAAGCATTTGCAGAAAGTTCAAAAGAAATGTAGAATGAGAATATAATACATTCTTAAATTTGAAAAATGGCCTAATTCAAACTCTTTGACAGGGCTAGGCTAATAGGAAAAAGCATTTTTACCACTTTGCCAACCATAATTTGCTTCTGAGTATATGTCAGAAATATACTCCCCACCCAGATAGAGCTCCCTAAGCCATATTCAACTTTACTAAAGCAATAGTATAGTACCATTTAGCAAGCGAGTGCACAAAATTTGTCTTAGTAGATGAGAAAGCATTCTTTCTGCCCCATCAGTGTGGAAAAGGTCTAAAAGCAGTTTAATCATGATGCTAAAACTGTTTGTTCAGTCATACCACCTCTCATTTGACAGTGATGTTTTTTAAGGACCTACTGTGTCCCAGGGATGAGGCCAGGTGCTATGCTAAAGTATCATACAAGGAATACAAGCCTCCTTAACAGAAAATCCTAGAATTTCTAAGTGTAAGTAAACACGAGCAGCCTGTACTTTAATAATTATTCTTCAGTACTCTGTGTACCTGTGAGGACACAAATCCTCTATGTGGTAATCCAGAGCATATCTGAGAGCTAATTAAAGATTGCAATAATAAAATCTCAGACAAAATCCTTTCTAAAGAGGAATGCTAAACAGTATAGAGAACAGATAACTGTGAAAAAGAAGACAAGTGATTCTCTGGGACATAGCACGTAGACCATAATGAGGGACGTGTGTTCTCTGATCTCCTTAGACAAAAACTGCTAGTATCACAGCAACCTTTGTAAGCTATTTAGGCCAGTGCTACTCATACTATGGTCCATAGAAAACAACATCAGCATCATTTGAGATCTTACTAGAAATGCAAATTCTGGGGCCTTAGCCCAGATCGACTAAATCAAAAACTCTTAGGACCAGTAATTTGTGTTAGCAAGTTTTACAGGGGCTCCTATGACCCCCCAAATTTGACAAACATTAATCTGCACTTCACATCTCAATTCTAATCTGACCCTGCTTATTTGAACTGTCAATTAGCCATTAGTATAAACTCACATCAATGAAATTCATCACATAAGGCAAACACAAATGTAGACTGGCTAATGGACTGGCTTCAGTGATTTCAAAGCAGCCTATTCCAATTTGGCTTCACACGTGGTTAATCTAACTTAGCACACAATCTCTTAATATGAGGCCCTTATAAAGGGAGAAGAAGCAAAGCACATTTTCTTGGATGGTGTTTCATCTACACTTAGACCTGTCTTTTCTCCTCAGGAGGAGCCAGAGAAGTCAAGTCGAATTCCAGTAAGGCATTTTAACTAATATTGCTATGGACTGAATATTTGTGTCCCCCAATAATGTGATGGTATTTGGAGGTGGAGCCTTCGGGAAGTCATGAGGACACAGCTAAAAAGAAACATGCCATATAATTATTATAAAAATGTGTCAAATAAATTATTTTATGTTTATTTACTTCAACATTACATTCATAATTTATGTTTCTGCCTGGAAATCACAATCATAGCTCTAATTGGAAAATGAAGATGATACATTTATGACAAGAATGATCATCCCATTGTCTGATAAATATTGTCAATTATTTAATCAAGTGAAATTCTAAGAAGACTAAAATGAAGGTAAAGGTGGCAAGCTGAACTATTGAGGAATTGGAAATACCCCGGGGACAATAGGTTCATTGGAGTGAGTTATTAAAAAAAAAAATAGAAAGGACGTGGCTCTGATTTGCAGTTTTCTTCTTACTGCTGCCCAGCTAGGCTTTTGTGTTGGCACCAGAGCCACAGAATTCATTGCAGAATGTCACACTAGGGATTTGCACCTGGTTCCTTGAATTCAGATGTTTAGTTAAGGAGACAAAGGTTGATTACCACGTATCACTATGGCTGCAAGAGCCACTGTATTAGTCCGTTCTCATGCTGCTATGAAGAAATACTTGATACTGGGTAATTTATACAGAAAAGAGGTTTAATTAACTCACAGTTCCACATGGCTGGGGAGGCCTCAGGAAACTTATAATTATGGCAGAAGGCACCTCTTCACAGGGCTGCAGGAGAGAGAATGAGAGCAAGCAGGGGAAATGCTAGACACTTATAAAACCATCAGATATTGTGTGACTCACTCATTATCACAAAAACAACATGGGGGAAACTGCCCCCATCATTCAGTTACCTCTACCTGGTCTCACCCTTACACTTATGGATTACTACAATTCAAGGTGAGATACAGGTGGGGACATAGAGCCAAACCATATCAGCCACTTAACAAATGAAGATCACTCTCTTTCTGAATGTTCTTTGCAAAAATACATGACAAATCCTAAAAGAGGAGCCAAATAGGATGACCCATTTAGAGTTGGAAAAATACATGTAAATACATTTTACTTTACAGGATCACAGTCAGTCTGTGTAAGTAGTAAATAAACCTAATTTTATAAGTAAAATTATTCCCTATGACTTTCATTGTGACAACAGAAATAATATTCCACAGGAAAAAATCTTTGTAATATCACAGAAGCACACAAAAGTATGTTAGGTTCCATAATGTGAAATTAACAAGATGGAAATAGAGTCAAGAGGCCCAGTTATGTGATAAACTATGAGACTGGGTAAGTCTCAAATCACCCTAGCTTCTATTTTCAATATGTAAAGTGAAAGGTCAGTGATTCCTGAGATTTTGTTGTTGCTGTTTCCCAGTGTTTACTATTTATGTTTTAAAAATCTTTTCTCAGTTACTTGTTTTAAATAACTTAATAATCACATATCAATAATAATAGTAAGTCAACTAGACTGAAGAATATGTAATATTCTATCCTATAGTTGTAGACAGTTTTGTAGCTGTTAGATATATTGGAGAAAAAGGTCTCTGTCCCTACAGGTAACATTCAGTGTTTTTACATTGTATATATCAAGACAGAAAAAGTCTCTAAAGAGAGCTGACTTGGATTCGTTTTTCTCCGTAGAGTTTTCCCTTTGTTTACTGGCATCACGCAAATATCCTGGATATTGATACCACTGTGGCTTTTAGTCCCAAGCCATGCATTTACATAGCTCCTAGCAATGCATTTACAATAAGGAAGTTCTTCCCCTTTAATAAGCTAGAATAATGTTACAGTTGAGCAAAGATTTACACTCTTGGCAAAGCAAAGTGTCACACAAAGAAGATTAAAGACACAGGAAACTTGGACACATTTTCATTATTCAACAAATGTTTTAGAGCACCTATTTGCCAGGAAAAAATGATGGGTTCTTTGGATGTATTAAAGTACAAGATGATTCTTTTCCTCAGTAAGCTTTTAATCCTTTGGTTAAACAGACAAGTAAGTATACTTAGGAAGACTAGCAGTATGTAGCTTCTTTGGGAGGACCAGGATAGACACTAAAGACAGTTAAGTGCCTGAGCTCCTGACTCTTTCTGTGTAAAGGGTATCACACAGTATGAGGCCAAGGAAGTGAGACAAGGAGGAAGAAGAAAATAATATGAGGTCCAAACATTGCAAAAGACTGGAGAGTTTTAGCCCTTCATGAAAGAAAACCCATATCTTATTATTGAACAGAAACTCATTTTAAAAATCTAGTTGAATACTCTTATTTTACAAATGAACCCCAGGAATGTCTATGACTTCCTCATGCTACACAGAGAGTGGCTGAAAGAAGTTAGAGCTCCCATCTCCCAGTCCTCCTTTCTCTTTTTCATTTGGGAGTAAGACAAGACAGAGCACCTGAAACACAAAAGCACAATCTATTTCTTTTCATCAGTATCAATGTATAAACAACTCATTCTTTTATTATCTCATACTATGTAATGAATAGAAAAAGCCTAAAAAGTTATGAGAAGAATTTTGAGGTGTAACAAACTGTAGCATTGAAACTTTGTTTTGGGAAACAGTGACTTACCATTATGTACGAGCCATTGATTACATGCTAAATCCAACCAAAACTTTACTTGATTAATAAGCTGATATGTCTACAGAGTAAATTCATAACCTTGTAGACTGATCAGCAATATTCCTTTCCAAAAATAAGATAGTGAAAAGTTGTTTAAAATATATGCATTAAGTCCTCACTTGACATTGTCAGTAGATTCTTGGAAACTATAATTTTAAGTGAAATGGTGTATGCAAAAGCCATTTTTTCTCATCAACTTTAAAACAAAACAAAATTGAAGGGAAAAATGTTATTTGATGACCTGCTGTACATCATTTCACTTAGCTGAAATTTCCAAGAATCTATTGACAACATTGAGGGCTTATTATACAACCCTAGTAGAAGGACTTTAAATAGTTTAATAAGGAAGGCCTAGACTAAAATCTCATGAGCTCGTAATCTCTTCATTTTGTGCATTGTTCTTCATAGATTATTTTTGAGATTGCTTTCTGACAATATATAAATGCTGTGGTTATGTAATAACTTACAAATCAGTGAGAATTAAAGTTTGTTCATCACAGTGGACAAGAAAAGTGTAGCACTTAATTTTGTTTCCAGTAAATGATTGCATTTAAATATAATCTCAGTCATGTACTCAAGCAATAATCATGAATACAAAATGCCAACTCTGAATTATCTAACAAATGGAGATTAGATAAACCAAAATGGTAGATAATTCAAAAGTAATTTAAATTCAATGTTTGGATTTTTAAAATTACATTTATATATGGCCAGAGCTAATGTTCTTGGAATTGACTCAAGTAATGGTGCCTATTGAGAAACTGCATTACATTTTCTAATGTTGATCTCCTGCTGATTCATCAATATAACATATGCCTTGAGGGAAATAGGAAACACATCTTTGGACAATTGACGCTAACACCGTGGTAAGTAGAAATGAATCGACTGAAAGAAACTTCCCCGGAAAAGGAGCAGTGTTTGCATGTAATGCATAATAACTGGTGAATTTATTTACCCAAGCTAGAATCTTTGAATTGGCTCATTTTAGTTGAATTCTGAGTTAATGTATTCATTTTTTCACTGAGGCGTAACTCCAACAACTATTTATCAAGAGCTTATGTCAGACTCTACTAGATATTGGGTATCAAATCAAGAATTACCTTATGTTTTCTGGTGGATTTTTGCCACTGTGGAATGTAAAATGGAGAATGTTCTTATGGAACATTTAATCCATGAACACAGTCATCTGATGAAATTGGACAGAGACTTCAATTGACCTTACTTAGAAATGAGAAAAAAATGTTTTTCCATAAACTTCTGGTTTTGTTTCTGTTGTTGTTTTATAATTTTCTATTATCTGAAAAATTGTCTCAGATTTTGAGATTCTGGGTATTAATTATAATTGCAGTGAAATGGATTTACAGCACTGAGAACTATTGGGAGTGACTGGAAATATTGCAAATGACTAATGAATCAATAAATAAACTCAACTGGCAATCTCTATTTTGTGAAAATGTACTGTCTGTTTGTACTGCTACAAAGTGTACTGTATTCTCTCTGGTGGTAGCTGATATTTCATTTGCCTTTATATCATAGTTTGAGTAATGCCCTCTTTTATGACATTCTTGAATGACTATTTTATCTGTTATTGCTGTCTGAAGAATGCTGAAATAGAAATACATCTGGGTATCTATGCAAGAAGGATGATGCAAGGATATTTAAAACACCAGATAAATCCTTTTGTTAGTGATAAAAAAAAAAAGTTTGTCTGTCTGCAGAAGCAATGGTTGCATTGTGGTCTTTTGTTGCCATTAGGCTACTAAAATGCTCCACTGTGAAGCTTATTCTCTTGCACCTGAAAATCCACATTATGTGCTCTGTGTTTTCTCTGTAGTTAAGCTAAGTGAGTAATATTGAGGGGAAGTTAATCATGATCAGTAATTTCTGGGTTACTCTAGAGAACTAAGGGAAAATAACTCCATATGAAGAATAGAAAAACACATTTATAAAAGTTTAGGTTTAAAAACTATTCACCATTTGTTACAGCTAACAGGGAGTGTGAGAGTCAGTAAATAGAATTCACATGGAAAGAACGAGCTTTACCTCATGGTTTCACCAAGCCAGCACCTAGCACATGGTAAGCACTGGATAAATATGAAAAAAATAAAAAATAAATATTTTGATGCCACCATTACAACAGCAATTCTCACATCCAAGTTTAGATAATCCAGAAAAATCCCAATGATTATGATGGCAAAGTGAAGTTATTTTCCCTCTCATATCAAATAATATTAAATGTTAAAACCCTCAAATACTGAAAATCAAGGAGAAAAATATGCAAATCAAGGAACCAAGCAGAAAGCTATTAGTGCCACCTCTCAATAAACCGCTAAGCACAGCTTTATACAGATTTTTTTTTGCTAATTGATATCTGACTGAATGTATATTTAATGCAGTCTGGTTGGAAAAAAGATCAAATGAGCCAATCAGATTGAATCATAAGGAGTTTTTGTGCCACTTGAAGTGAATAGTACTGAGACAATAAAGCAGTACTACAGTCATTAATCATGAACCACTATAGAGAAAAAGCCAAAGGAAAAGGGAGCAGAAGGTGGTGACAGAGAGAAAACACGCTGTTCGAGAAAGAATGTCTTTTTATTCACCTTGATGATTATTTTCTGATAAATATCTTGCCCTTCTCTGTTCTTTCTAGCTGAAGGTCTATTACATTGTGAAAAACTCTATTCCATTAAAACTTCTAATTGTGGGTGTCACTTAATAAAAAAGGAAAAGAACTTGATTTAATTTGCACAAATTAATGAGAATAAAAGATAAATATAATAAACTCTAAAAAGTGTAACCATGCCATTTTTGTGATAAAAATGGAACTACTTTACAGAATTGATATTCATTTCACTTTTATGCAGAGAACTTTTCAGATGCCAAACCATTCATTTTGATTTGCATTCCAGATTATCAGTCTCAAATTCTGAACCATACATATAAACAATTTGAATGTAGATTACATACATCATCTCCTATGATAATCATCATGGGAGCAAAAAGTAGACACTAAAAAAAGCCAGCTAAACTCCTGATAATTTTTCTGAAGAAAATGCAAACAAGCATGTGAGTCACTTTAATTTCTGCTTTGTAAATAGTCACTCAAGCACTTTCTTCTAAAATGAAAGTAAAAAAGAGTGATGTCATTTATTATAATAATGTACACCCAAAATAGCAATAACCTTAAAAATATTGATGAGGAGGAATATGACAAATGTTTTATATATTACATGGGAGAAATGCTATTGTAATTGACCTTCAGAATTAATTTAGTAGTCTACTTTGTGATTAACCTGTATTTGCCAAAAGTATCATTCATCTAAGGTCAGGGAAGACTTAACTGCCATCCTATATAATTCTAAATAAAACATATTCTTTAAAATTTTTAATACTATTTTAAGGACCATTTTATTAAAACAATATAAGTGAACATCTATCCATTTTTTATCAATCATTTGTTTTCAATAAATACAAACATTTATAATAGCATCATGCCTTTAAAGCTAAGTTCCAGAATAAGAAATAAGTGATTCAGCTTTACCTTGGCATTCATCTCAGGCTAACCTCTGTCATGTGTCATCAAATGGAAAAAAAGCATTTTCAAAAAGAATAATGTGTACATATATCTTCAAGACATAACTCCAAATAACAGTGGTTCCAATCGTATTTACATATGACATCAACTAGATTAAATTCTTCCATTTGACTCGTCAGACACTTTGTGCTTTTAAGACATCCAAGAGAGACTAATATGCTGTGGAAAATCAGAATAGCAATCTAAAACTTTAATTGTTTTAAACTTAGGAGATACTCATGAATCCTCAAATCAGGAATATTCTCTCATAAAATCATACACCCAAAATCTCACCACTTCTGACCATTTCCACCACTGCTGCCGCCTGTATAAGCTACAAACATCTCTCGCTATTGCCATAGGCTCCTAACATTGTTATCTGAATCTACTTTTGCACAAAAGACAGGCTATTTTCCATTAAGCATTCTTTTCACTTACCTCTCCAAACCTAAAAATGTCTGCTCTTATCACTGCAGAACCTGGACCTTGGCTACTTCTCTTTATCCACACTCCTCTTGCTCTAATTTAGCCACATTATCCCCCTACGAATACATGCATGCACACACAGACAGACACACACACACACACACACTCACGCATAAGGGATTACATGGTTCTCTCCCTCAATTCATTCAAGTTTCAGCCCAGAGCCCTTCTTGACAACTGCAGCTAGAAAACATCCTGTTCTACCCACTCTCCACTCTGCCGCTTCTCTGGCTTATCTTCTCCCATCTGGCTATATTTTGTCATATACTATAACCTAAGATACTATTGACTTTTTGCCTGTCAATACTTGAATAAGAGAAATTGGGAATTTTTGTCTTTTTTGTTCATTGCTGTATAGCAAGAATGTAGAACAGTGCCTAGCACATGACAAATGCCCTCTAAATATTTATTGAATGAAATAAGTTATCCTTTGGGATTCAAATTCAGCAATGATAGCTTAGGTTGCAGGGATCTCTACTTTTGTGACTCTAGCAGTGGGGAGGGTATGTATGTATAACCATTGAAAAAGCAATAGAATGTCTCTGTGCAAAGAAAAAAAAGGGAAAATCTGAAAAGCATAGAGAATAAAAATTACAATTACCACAAATTCTACTACTTGGAAATAAGTACTATTAATATGTTATGTGAATAAGTACTATTAACATGTTAGTAAATATCTACTAATCTGTTCATTTTCCTAAGAATATTCTGTCACAATCCAGTCTATAGTTTACATTTAAGTTTATTTTTAAATGCACTTTCAGTAAATCAAGTTTGTTCTTCAGCTGTGTGGGTTGAAGAAGGTGTTTTTCAAGGCTCTACCACATATTGTCTAGGTGCAAGAAAATATTTCAAAATATTACTAATGCTAATCAGTGGCCCACAAAGCTTTCACGTCACAATTATATGTATATGAGCTCTCCAAACCAATACTCCTCTCTCATCTTTTGGGTTAGTTGATCCAGATGTATTTGCTAAAATAAAAATGTTTCAAAAGATTCTACTTCCATTTAAACTATTTGTAATATGCAGTACAAAAACTATTAAGATTATTTACAGGCATACCTCATTTTACTATGCTTTGTTTCACTGTACTTTGCAGATATTATGATTTTTTTAAATTGAAGTTTTGTGGCAATGCTCTGTTGAGCAAGTCTATTGGCGCCATTTTTCCAACAGCATGTGCTCACTTTGTGTCTCTGACACATTTTGATAATTCATGCAATATTTTATACTTTTTCATTATTATTATTATATCTATTTTGGCAATCTGAGGTCATTGATCTTTGATGTTACCACTGTAATTGTTTTAAGATACCACAAACCATGTCCATATAAGATGGCAAACTTCATTGATTTATGTTGCATGTTTGCAACATAAACTGCTTCATCAACTGGCCCTCCTAAAGCATCGCCATTACATGAGACATATCAATTTGGAAATTAGGCCAATTTATAGCCCTACAATGGCTGGTAAGTGTTGAAGTGAAAAGAAACTCTCATGTCTCTCACTTTATATCCCCATTACATGAGACATATCAATATGGAAATTAGGCCAATTTATAGCCCTACAATGGCTGCTAAGTGTTGAAGTGAAAAGAAACTCTCATGTCTCTCACTTTATATCCAAAGCTGGAAATGATTAAGCTTAGTGAGGAAGGCATGTTGAAATCCATGATGGACCAAAACCTAGAGCTCTTGCATGAAACACTTAGGCAGGTTGTGAATGCAAAAAAAGTTCTTATAGAGAATTAAAAGTGAGCACACAAATGATAAGAAATTGAAACAGCCTTATTGCTGATACAGAGAATGTTTTAGTGGTCTAGATAGAAGATCAAACCAGCTAAACATTTTCTTAAGCCAAAGCCTTAACCAGAGCAAGGCCTTAACTCTACTCAACTATGTGGAGGCTGAGAGAGGTGGGGACATTTCAGAAGAAAAGTTGGAAGCTAGCAGAAGTTGGTTTATGAAGTTTAAGAAAAGAAGCCACTTCTATTACATAAACATATAAGGTGAAGCAGTAAGTGCTGATGTAGAATCTACAGCAATTATCCAGTAAACCTAGCTATCTATTACTGAATGTGGCTACACTAAACAAAAGATTATCAGTGTAGACAAAACCACCTTCTTTTAAAAGAAGATGCCTTCTAGAACTTTCATAGCTAGAGAGCAGAAGTCAATGTCTGGCTTCAAAGTTTCAAAGTACAGTCTAACTCTCATGTTAGGGGCTAATACAGCTAGTAACTTTAGATGGAAACCAATGCTAATTTACCACCCCCAAAACCTTAGGGCCCTTAAGAATTACATTAAATTCACTCTGTGCTCTATAAATAAAACAACAAAGTCTGAATGACAACACATCTGTTTATAGCAGTTTATTTAATACTTTAAGCCTATTGTTGAGAACTATTGCTCAGAAAAAGATTCCTTTCAAAATATTACTGCTCACTTGACAATGCACCAGGTCATCCAAGAACACTGATGGAGATGTACAAGGGGATTAATGTTGTTTGCATTCCTGCTAATACACTTATTTTGCAGCCCACAAGTCAAAGAGTAATTTTGACTTTCAAGTTTTATTATTAAGGGGACACATTTTATATGACTATCACTATTATAGATGGTAATTCCTCTGATGGATCTGGGAAAAGTAACTTGAAAACCTTCTGGAAAAGATTTATTATCTTGATGCCATTAAGAACACTTTTGATTCATAAGAGGAGGTCAAAATATAAACATGATCAGGAGTTTGAAAGAAGTTGATTCCAACACTCATGGAAAACTTTGATGAGGTTAAGACTTCAGTGGAGGAAATCACTGCAAATGTGGTAGAAATAGCAAGAAAACTATAATTAGTAGTAAAGCCTAAAGATGTGACTGAATAGCTGCAGTCTCATGATAAAATTTGAATGGATGAAGAATTGCTTCTTACCGATGGGCAAAGAAAGTGGTTTCCTGCGATGGAATCGACTGCTGGTAAAGACACTGTGAGCACTGTGGAACTGACAACAAAGGATTTAGAATATTATATAAACTTAGTTGTAAAAGCAATGGCAGGGTTTGAGAGGATTGGCTCCAATTTTGAAAGAAGTTCTACTATGTGTAAAATGCTATGAAATGGCATGTCATGCTACAGAGAAATCTTTAGTAAGAGAAAGAGTAAATCAATGCAGCAAATTTCATTGTTGGCTTAAGAAACTGCCACAGTCACCCCAATCTTTAGCAACCACCACATGATCAGTCAGCAGCCATCAACATCAAGTGAGGCAAGACCGTCCACCAGCAAAAAGATTATGATTCACTGAAGGATCAAATTATTGTTAGCATTTTTAGCAATAAAATGCTTTTTAAATTAATGCATGTACATTTTTTAATGCATGACATCATGGTGCTATTGCAAACTAAATAGACTACAATATAGTGTGATCATTACTTACATGTGCCAGAAAATCAAAAAATATGTGTGACTCACTTTATTGCAATATGCACTTTATTGCAGTCGTCTGGAACTGAACCCAGATCATCTCTGAGATATGCCTGTATTGATTTTATTACATTACTGTTTTAAATAAAAGGTATTTTCATATGCAATAGCAATTTCTCTTTGAAAGAAATTTGCTTGTCAAAATGCTCAAAAGTTGCCTATCCTCCAATCCAGTATGGCAGACTTTAGTTAATTTCTACATTCTCAAGACTCAACAAAATGAAATGAAAAGGTATAACAGATAAAAAGGAAATAGAAAAACAGAAGATAGTAAGAAGAGAGGATGACAAAATATAATGCTTTTATTGTAAGGCATAAAAATCTCAAAGTTAATATGACAAAATAATAAGCATTCACACTTACAGTAGGTATTTATAATTTGTGTGTGTGTGTGTGTTTTGAAAATGCTCAGTGATTTTTAAAATTATTTTCATTTTTAGAAAAAAGTCATCTCATATCCTTTTATATTCTGATGTTGAATGTAGCTGATTTTGTAGCTGCTAAAGCTGTACACTTTCACAGTCTTTGGGGAAAACATACTGTTCCTTTACATCCATTCCAGCCTCCTCCAGCAGCATTTGCTGAAGGCTATGGTGCAGAGGTGATTTCTTTGGAGATTTCAAAGATACACAGAAGCAGTTTAACATGAAAGTGTGACAAAAGAAGGAAAAAGAAATGGGGAAATGATGACAAAGAACTATTTTTGTGTTTAAAAGATCACTGTGAAATTTGTATTTAAAGCTTGATAGCAGTAGCAAAGTGCCATAAAGCCCCACAGGAAAAGACTCTATCCCAGGAGAGTCTGGATCTCCACTCCCTCATTCGGACCTTCACATTAAAATCACATCTTCATATCTTTTTCCCATTAACTTCTCCCTGGTACTAGGATAAGGCTGTTGACTTTACAAAAGAGAGAGCCAACCTTTCCATAAAGTTCTTTTTCTTTCAAAGGTAAACTCTTTCATAGAGTAAAAATAAATTATACCTGCAACGTTAATTAATGTGGAAAAGAATATCAATGATACTCAGCTGTTATGATTGTGTTAGAATTAGGCCCCAACACCTTCATCAGTGCTTCTGAATCTATGTCATGTTTTCAAATAGGATTGCGTCTGTTCCAAGATGAACACATCCAACCCACCATATGATCAATAGTGTAACTGATTGCAAGAAATATCCAGCATTCACATTAAATATTTGATAGTTTAAAATTTTTTATTTTAAATTTTATATTAAGAAAATGTTAAAATATCATAATTTTATTCTGTTTAGTAGGGACAGGATATACAAGTTTGAGTGACCATACATCAAAATGGTATAGCACATAAATTCTTGAGTCAGATTACCTGAGTTTGATATCAAGCACTGCCTCTTATTGACTGTTCAATACTGAATGAATTATTTAATCTCTTTGTTTCCATCATTGTAAAATGGGGATTATTAAGTACCTACTTGTAATGAGAAGCTAATGAGTAACTATGTGTCAAGATATAGGAGACTACCTGTCACACAGAAAGTTCTACATAAGTGCTTGATTTTGGTAATATTTCAGGCATATTTTCATTAAATATATTAACTAATATAATCATTAGTTTAAAAAATATGCATCTGTATTTATTCAACAGTGTTTCTTTTCTACATCAATATTTTATTTCTAATTTCTTTACTCTGCTTTATTTTAGTCTATTTTACTTTTTAATAATATTTATGTTACTTATATTTTTAAAGAAGTATAAACAAAGATAAGAATAAATTAGGTATTTCAGATTTTAACTTTTTTCTTTTCTGATCAATAGTTTGGTTATACCTCTAAGGGTCTGACCCACAATTTAACTGTATATATTTTTCCTAACTATTCTCTAACAATGATTTTTTTATTTCTTTTTGACTCAAGAATCATCTTTGAGGGCTTCAATTTTTTATATGGTATTTCTTTTCAACTGGAGATGGCAGACAGGACAATTAGATCAAAAAATAAATGGCATAAAAATTGGAAAGAAAATGATAAATTACTATAATGAAAATATGACATGCTAAAGATCAAATAAAATATATATTCTGAGAATTCAAAATTTTTGTATATAAACTACCATTAAAAACAAATAACAAACAGAAATATTATTATAAATAAGAGAATTTAATAAAATGTCTCAATGCAAAATTATTAGAAAATCAATCGTTTTTCTTAACACAAATATCAACCAGATAATGTAATTTTAAAAATAGCAAAAGAGAGATAACACCCTTAAAAATAAATCTAATAGAAAATAAGCAAGATCTAAGAGTGCTTTAAAAACACTGCCAAATAGAAGAATTGAAGAAATGAAAAGACATACCATGTTTTTTGATAAACTTCCCATCATAAAAATGTTAACTTTTTGTTTTTCAATTTGTGAATATGACATTTTAATGGAATCACAGTGAAAATGCCATTAAGACTTTTTATTTTCCTAGACAGGCTGACTCTAAATTTGTGTGAAAAATGAACATGAAAGATTAGCTAGAAAAACTCTAAAGGGAGACTGTGGGAAAACTAGCACTACCAGATGTTAAAATATATCATTAATCTGTAATCACTAATGCTCTAAAGTTGTGGAATACAAAGTCATATACATCAAATGAAACATAATATGCTATTTGAAAATAAACTAATATATTTAATTAAGACAGTTAAAATTTTAAATCAGCTAGAAAAGATACATTGTTTCATAAATGGTGTTTGGACAAAGCAATAACCACTTAGAAAAAAAACTGAAATCTATCTCACTTCTTAAACCCAAATATATTTTAGATGAATTAAAATTTAAACCAAAAGAATGAAACCACAAAAGTTCTAGATTAAAATATGAAATTTTTGTTTTGTACAGTTTATTTATCTTTTCAGTGAGTAGTACTTTTCTAAATAACAAAAACTTCAAAAGTCATAAAGAAAAATGTATAAATAAATTACATAATTTAAAAAAATCTATGTTGAAAAAATATCTACCATGAGGAAACTCAAAAGAAACATTTAAAAGGTAAGAAAAATAACATCACAAAAAATTAATTTCCTAATTATATAAATAGATGAGAAAAATGCTAAAGTCCAATAAAAATGGGACATGATCTGGCAGATACAGAAACCAGGCATACCTCAAAATAATAAGAGCCATCTATGACAACCCACAGCCAACGCCACACTGAATGGGCAAAATTTGAAAGCGCTATCTCTGAGAACTGGAACAAGGCAATAATTTCCACTGTCACCACTCTTACTCATCATAATACTGGAAGTCCTAACTGGAGCAATTAGGCAAGAGAAAGAAATGAAAGAAAATGAAATAGGAAAAGAGGAAGTCAAATTATTTCTGTTCACTGATCAAATTATTCTATACCTAGAAAACCAAGAAGATTCCTCCAAAAGACTTTTAGACCTGATAAATAACTAGTGAAGTTTTGGAATACAAAATTAATGTATAAAAATAAGTAGCATTTCTATACATCAATACAGTAAAAGTTGAGAGCCAAATCAATAATGCAATCCCATTTGCAATAGCCACACACAAACAAAAATAAAACACCTAAGAATACATCTAACCAAGAAAGTGAAGAACTCTACAAGGAGAATTATAAAACGCTGCTAAAAGAAATCACAGATGACACAAACAAAAGGGAAAAGGTTCCATGCTCGCGGATTAGAATCATTAAAATGCCATACTGCCCAAAGCTATCTATAGATTCAAAGCAATTCCCATCAATTACCAATGTCATTTATCAGAAAATTAGAAATACTATTCTAAAATTCATATGGAACCAAAAAAGAGTCCAGATAGCCAAAGCAATCCTAAGCAAAAAAAAAAAAAAAAAGGCAAAGCCAGAGGCATTACAGTACTCAACTTCAAACTGTACTACAGGGTGATAGTAACCAAAATAGCATGGTACTGGTACAAATATGTAAACACATAGATCAAAGGAACTGCATAGAGAATGCAGAAATAGACCCATACACCAACAAGAGACTTATCTTTGACAAAGTTGAAAAACTAAACAATGGGGAAAGGGAACCCTATTCAATCAACGGTTCTGGGATGACTGACTAGCCATATGCAGAAGATGGAAACTGGATCCCTACTTCTCACCATATACAAATGTTAACTCGATATTGATTAAACATTTAAACTTTGTACTTCATACTATAAAAATCCTAGGCAAAAACACAGGAAAATCTCTTCTGGTCATTGGCTTAAGCAAAGAATTTATGACTAAGGCCTCAAAAGCAAATGCAACAAAATCAAAAATAGACAAATAGGACTAAAAAAGCTAACAGGCTTCTGCACAGCAAAAGAAGCAATGAACAGGGTAAACAGACAACCTCGAGAATGAGAAAAAATATTTGCAAACTATGCATCCTACAAAAGACTATACAGAAGCTATAAGAAACTCAAACCAACAGGAAAAAAATCAACTTCATTAAATTGGCATAAGACATGAACAGTCACTTCTCAAAAAAAGACATACAAGCAGCCAAAAAACATATGAAAAAATGTTCAACTTCACTAATCATCAAAGAAATGCAAATTAAAACCACAATGTGAGATGCCATCTCACACCAGTCAGAATGGCTGTTATAAAAAGCAAAAAAAAAAAAAAAAAGATGTTGTTGAGGGTGCAAAGAAAAGGGAATGCTTGTACAGTGTTGGTGGGAACGTAAAGTAGTTCAGTCTCTGTGGAAAGCATTATGAAGATTTCCATAGAACTGAAGACTACCATTCACCCCAGCAATCCCTCTACTGGGTATCTACCCAAAGAAAAAGAAAAAGTTATATTCGTAAGATACCTCTACTTGTATGTTTATCATAGCACAATTCACAAGAGCAAAGTCATGGACTCAACCAAGTGCCCACAAACAGTAGATTGAACAAAGAAAATGTGGTACAGAAATACCATGGAACGCTACACAGCCATTACAATGGATAAAATTTTGTCCTTTGCAACAACATGGATGCAGCTGGAGGTCATTATCCTAAATGAATTATCACAGAAGCAGAAAATCAAATAATGCATGTTCTCACTTATAATTGGGAGCTAAACAATGGGTACACATGGACATAAAGATAAAAACAATGGACACCAGGTATGTCAAAATCAGGAGGAGAAAGCAAGAGTAGAAAATCTATCTCTTGAATATTATGTTCACTACTTGGATGATGGGTTCCATAGAAACCCAAACCCCAGCATTACATAATATATCCATGTAACAAACCTGTACAAGCACCCTCTGAATCTAAAATGTAAAATAATAATAATGATGAAATTAAAAATTAAGTTTAAGGCCAGGCACGGTGGCACACACATGTAATCCCAGCACTTTGGAAGGCTGAGGCAGGTGGATCACCTGAGTTCAGGAGTTCTAGACCAGCCATGCCAACAAGGTGAAACCCCATCTCTACTAAAAAAATTCAAAAAATAAAAAAATTAGCTGGGCATGTGGGCAGACACCTGTAATCCCAGACACTCAGGAGGCTGAAGCAGAAGAATCACTTGAACCCGGGAGCCAGAGATTGTAGTGAGCCATGATCACGCCACTGCACTCTAACCTAGGTAACAAGAGTGAAACTCCATTTCAAAAATAAGTACATGTATAAATACATAAATAAATATTAAAAATAATAATTAAATTTTAAAAAACTGCCCCCACTGGCTCAGTGCAAAACAAGCAGGAGAAATCCTCAATTCCTGGCTTCTCCCTAGTGAAAGAAAGAGTTGGAGTATGTGTCCAGTGTTTAGCCTTTTGGGCAGAGGGAGTTCCTACAGGACTCTTGCCCAATTAAGGGTGCTGACAAAATCCCACATAATCTAGAAGCCTGGGACCGCTAAGAACAAAAGACAGCAGGGTAGCTTATGGCAGTTCCAGAGAACCTGGAATGCCACAGAAAACAGGAGAGGGAAAAATATTATGAGCCCCTGAAAATAAACCAGCACTCTTCTAATTGGGAAATTGCATATGCAATTCTAGAGGAAATACATTCACAGAAAAGGTCTGAGACACCCTAAGACTCCCTATCAGGACTGATTAGTGAATGCCTTCCCCTCAATGAAGCTAGCCTACGAAAAATGGGACAGGTGGCTATTTTTTAAAATGCACAGATTTTAACACAAAGTTATCAGGCACATGAAAAAATAGGAAGGCATGGCACAAGCAAAAATATAAAATAAATTTCCAGAATCCCACTCTAAAAAATGTATGTTTATGAATCACCTAACAAAAAATTCAACATAACCATCATAAAGACTATCAACATGCTCAGGAAAACAATGCAAGAACAAAGACACAGAAAATATTTTTAAAATATTAAAATGAACCAAATAGAAATGTGTGGCTTAAGACTACAAGAACTGAATTGAAAAACTCCCTGAAGGGGTTCAACAGCAGACTTAATCAAGAAGAGAAATGAAACGGTGAAACTGAAGATAACGTCATTTGAAATCATTGCATCAGACGAGACATAATTAAAAAAAAGCCTACAGGGCTTATGGAACACCATGAAGCTGACCAATATACAGTATTGGTGAGTATGGGATTCCCAGAAGAAGACAGAATGAAGCAGGAAGCTTATTTAAATAAATAATTGTTGTATTAGTATATTTTCATACTGCTATTAAAAAACTGCCCAAGACTGGGTAATTTAAAAAGGAAAGAGGTTTAATTGTCTCATAGTTCAGCATGGCTAGGGAGGCCTCAGAAACTTACAATCATGGCAGAAGGTGAAGAGCAAGCAAGGTACCTTCTTCACAAGGCAGCAGGAAGGAGAAGTGCCAAGCTAAGGGGGAAGAACCCCTTATAAAAACATCAGATCTCATGAGAACTCACTACCACAAGAACAGCATGGGGGAAACCATGTCCATGATTCAATTATCTCCACCTGGTCTCTCTCGACACGTGGGGATTACGTGGATTATAATTCAAGATGAGATGTGAGGATGCAAAGCCTAACCATATCAATTGTTAAACAAACTTTCCGAATCTGGGGAAAGAAATGGAAATCATGATTCAAGAAGTCCAACAAAATTTTTGTTTCTTCCAAGGTATTATTTTACTTCCCTATTGATTACTTTGGGCCCTTTGGTTATTCAGAAATCTAATAGTTATTGTCCACATATTTGTGAATGTTCCAATTTTCCTTCTGTTATTTCTAGTTTCATACTATTGTAGTAGGAAAATATAGTTGGGATGATTTTAATCTTCAGTTTGTTAAGACTTACTTGTTTTTTGATCTAACATATAATCTATCCTGGGGAGTGTTCCATATGCTATTTTAAAAATTGTGTATTCTGTTGTTGGATGCAATTGATGTTTATGTATATGTCTAGTAGGCCCAACTGATCTATAGTATGGCTTAAATCTACTGCTTTCTTATTAATTTTCTGTCTAGATGATCTATCCATTGGTGAAGGTGGGCTATTGAAGACCCTTAATATTACTGAATTATTATCAACTTCTCCCTTCAGTGTTGTTAATATTTGTTTCATATATTTTAAGTGCTCCAATGTTGGGTGCATATATACATAAAATTATTATATGTTCTTGATGAATTGATCCCTTTATCATTATGACCTTCCAACAAAGATGAACTCAAGGATTATAATGTATCCTCACACAAGATACATCATAACCAAATTGTCAAAAGTCAAAGAACAAAGAGATAATTTTTAAAGCAGCAAGAAAAAAGTGACATCACATACAAGGGAGGCAAATTAAGACTATCGATGGCTTTCTGACCAGAAACATTGCAGGCCAGAAGGAGTGGGATGATATATTCAAAGTGCTGAAATAAAAAAGCTGCCAACCAAGAATACCACATGCAACACAAGTGTCCTTCAAAAGTGAAGGAGAAATAAAAACTTTCCCAGATAAATAAACGTTGGGGAAGTTAATCATCACTTGATCTGGCTCTTAAGAAATGCCAAGGGAAGACCTTCAAGTTGAAATGAAAAGACACCAGACAGCAACACAAAACTTTATGAAAGCATAATATTCAGTGGTAAAGGTAAATATACAAATACA
Source organism: Homo sapiens (assembly GCF_000001405.40). Taxonomy (NCBI): domain Eukaryota; kingdom Metazoa; phylum Chordata; class Mammalia; order Primates; family Hominidae; genus Homo; species Homo sapiens. The sequence continues at coordinate 161,999,745 of NC_000003.12, read as the reverse complement.
GAATGCTGTAATACTGTAATAATGGTGAGTAAACCATTTCTAGTATAGAAGTTAAAAGACAAAAATATAAAAATTAACTTTAACTAGAAAATATACAAAATTTATAAAAATATATAATTTGTTTCATCCACAAAATAAAGTATATGTGTGGTGGGGGAGAACAAAAAGAGTAGAGTTTTTGTATGTGATTAAAGTTAAGATGTTATTAGCTTGAAATAGATTACTGTAAGATATTTTATGTAAGCTCCATAGTAACCTCAAATAACAATCTATAGAAGATACACAAAATAAAATTAGAAAGGAATTAAAGCACATCCCAACAAAAACAACAAAAAATCAACATAAAACAAATGAAGACAGCAAGAGTGGAAGATAAAGACAGAAAAACCAAAAGACATACCAAATATAGTTAATAAAATGACGATAGTAAGTCTTTCTCTGTGTAAATAGATTAAACTCTCTAATAAAAGATTTAGAGTGGCTGAGTACATTAGCAAAAAAACAAGATTCAACTATATACTATCTACAAGCTACTCACTTTAGATTTAAGGACACACACAGGCTGAGAACAGGTGGATGAAAAAATATAAATCATTCAAATAACCAAAATAGGACAGGGGAGCGCTTACTCAAGGAAGCAAAAGACTCATACACTAAAAACTACAAAACATTGCTAAAATAATTAAAGAAAACATAAATATAAACACAAAGTCCTGTATTCACGGATTGGAAAGATTAATACTGTTAAAATCTCCACACTACCCAAAACAATGGATTCCATGAAATCCATATTAAAATTCCAGTGTCATTTTTATAAAAATAGAAAACCTATAATAAAATTTTTGTGTAACCACCAAAGACTCTGAATGGCCAAAATAATATTGAGGAAGTACAGCTGGAGGCATCACACTTCCTACTTCAAAACATATGGCAAAGCTGCAATAATCAAAGCAGTGTAGTACTGGCATAAAGGCAGAAATACAGACCAAGGGAAGAGAATAGATATCCTATAAGTAAACCCATGCATATACTGTCAGATGATCTTCCACAATGGTGCCAATAATACACAAATGAAAAAGGATAGTCTCTTTAATAATGATAATGGGAAAACTGGATATACAATACAAAAAAATGGAAATTGGACCACACACCAAACTGAAATTTAAAATGAATTAAAGACTTACACGTAAGACCTGAAACCATGAAACTCCTAGAATAAGAGGAAAACTCATAACTTTGGTCTTGGCAATGGTTTCTTGGATACAACACCAAAAACATAGGCAAACAAAGCAAAAATAGACAAGTGGGGCTACATAAAGCTAAAAAAGCTTCTGCATAGAAAACAAAACAGTCAGCAAAGGAAAAAAAGCAAAGTACAAAATAAGATGAAATATTGGCAAATCATATATCTGATAAGGAATTACTATCCAAGATGTATAAAGAACCCAATTTTTTTTAATGGATGAAGGACTTGAATTGACATTTCTTCAAGGAAGACATATAAATTATCAACAAGTATATTAAAAGAGGCTCCACATCACTAATTATCAGAGAAATGCAAATTAAAACCACCATATTACTTCAAACCTGGTAGGATGGCCATTATCAAAATAACAGAAAATAACAAGTATTGGAGAGAATGTGGATAAACTGGAACCCTTGGGCCATGTTGGTGGGAATGTACAATGATGCAACCAATATGAAAAATAGTATGGAGGTTCCTCAAAATATTGATCTAGCAATCCAACACCTAGGTACTTATCCAAAATAATTGAGATCAAGATTTCAAAGAGACATTTGCACATAGTTGAAGCAGTATTCAAAACAGCCAAGAGGGGAAAACAACCTAAATGTCCACTGAAGGTTAAATCAATAATAAAAAAAAACATGGTATATATATATATGCAATAGAATATTATGCAGGCTTAAAAATTAGGAACACCTTGCCGCATGCCGCAATGTGAATAAACTTTGAGGACATCATGGGAAGTAAAATAAGCCAGTCACAGTAAGACAAATACTACATGTTTCCACTTATATGAGATACCTAAAGTAGTCAAACTCAGAAGCAGAAAGTGGAGTGGTAGTTTTCAGAGGATGGGAGGAGGAGAAAATAGTGAGTTGCTCTTCAATGAGTATAGAGTTTTAGTTATTCAAGATAAAATAATTCTAGAAATTCTCTGTACAACAATGTGTATATAGTTAACAATAGAGTAGTGTATACTTAATATATATTAGGGTAGATTTCATGTTGTGTTTTTTTACCACAGTAAATAAATAAAAAGAATGAACAATGCTATACACCATAACATAGATGGATGAATCTCATAGACATGTAAGAAACCAAACAACAAAGAGTGTATCTCATTCCAATCATTTAAAGTAAAAATTGAGGCTGGGCCTGGTGGCTCATGTCTGTTATTCCAGCAGTTTAGAAGGCCAAGGCAGAAGAATCAATTAAGCCCAGGAGTTCAAGAATAGCCTGGGCAACACAGTAAGACCTCATCTCTACAAAAATAAAAAATTAGCTAGGCATAGTGGTGCACACATGTAGTCCCGGCTACTAGTGAGGCTTAGATGGGGGGATTGGTTGAGCCCAGGAGCTGGAGGCTGCAGTGGGCTATGATTGTGCCACTGTACTCCTGCACTCCAGCCAGGGAAACAGAGCGAGATTCTGTCTCTTTAAAAGGAAGTAAAAGTTAAGACAAAATAATTGATAAATTCAGAATAATGGTTATCTTTGGGAAATAGCAAAAGTGCATCTGGGAGCTTCTGGATTGCTGGTAGTGTTTTTTATCTTCATTTTATTGGTGATTAAATGGGCAAAACCAAGAGGCATAAGTAACATTTTGTACTTCACTGTATATACATGAAACTAAAATAATCTTAATACAGTAGCTTTAAAAATACAATGTGCCCAATCCAAATGGAAATGGACTGACTTATAAGCTGTTTTTTTCATAGACTTTTAGTTTAGTCAGTAGCTCAATGTAGAGATGACAATACACCATCTGCTAGCCTTACTAATCCAACTTTTTGTTTTATGATATGGGTATGACAGTGTCTTTTTAGTTTATGCACTTTTTATCATAGAAATATCAAATATTTGACTAAAATTTTCCATTTTCATTAGGAAGTTTGGCACCATATAGATACGTATTTGTCAATGTGCTATTTATGTAGCAAATTCTAGGGATAACTTTCTTGTCTTTGTCTCCAGTGACAATTGTTATTTGTGCATACTTCTTCAGATAAGTCATTTTTAGCCTTCAGTTTCCAGCATGTTAGCATTCTACTGACCCTGCAAAGTAATTTACCAAGCCCACTTGTAAGTGCTAACAGAAGAGTGGCTGGAATGTACTTAAACCTAAGCAGCTCACTCACAGTCATCTCGGATGATATTTTCATCCTGAATATAAATCTGAGGAAATCCCACTCAGAGAAGTAATGGGCACTGATTTGCCCAAATTTATGACAAGCAAAGCAAAGTTACCAACGATAAGTTCTCATAATAGTTTTAGCTTTGAAAAACTTTCAGATCCTGCTAGGATATGCACAACACAATGTTATCTAAACAACCAAACACTACAGGTTTTAAGGCTTGACAAGGAGCTTGATAACTGCCCTAGCTGTGGCCACTTGCAAAGTGAGATTACTCAAAGGATAATGATCTGGAAATTTAAGATTTGTTTTTTTCAGAGTTGGGTTTTCGCTCTGTCACCTAGTCTGGAGTACAGTGGTACAATTATGGCTCACTGCAGCCTCAAACTCCTGGGCTCAAGTGATCCTCCCGCCTCAGCCTACCAAGTAGCTAGGATTACAGGCTGGCATTACCCTTCCTGGGGTGATTTAAACCAATTAAGATTTAAAACAAAACCTGTCCCCGAAATTGGCTATAAATAATCAGGAACACAAAGGCAATCATGGTGGGGGTACCTAGATGTAATAACAGGGAAGATGAAGATCACTCAACTTTCCCAGTATGCACAGCCTGAAAATAGCTTTGTTTGCATTGACACAGGGAATTAGGTAGAATTTTGTTGTTGGTAGGTTTCTGAACTTTCTGGAAGTGATACATAATATCTTAGGAAGAATTCTCAGTTCCTTAATAAGCAACCTAAACTTAGGGCACAAACTTAGAAAATTGCAGTTTTAAGGAATTTAACCATAATTTTGTAATCAAAGATCTAGATAGAAGGTATTTTAATTTCAACATATCTTTAGGTTTTGTGTCATTTTGAAAATAAAATTTTTCTGTTACATTTTGTGGAGTGACGCAAATAAGTATAACAACTGTGTTGAGAGCCTCTAAAGACCCCTATTGCAGCCCTGCCTAAGGTGCCATCACCTTTGCTTCAAACAGCTCTTATCTTACTTTTTCATCAAGAGAATAAGGAGGACATCGTTTCCTGCTTGCTTGGAGGCAACATAATGTAGGACAATGACTTTTTAACACTGCCCATACATCTGAGTTACCCAAAAAGCTTAAAAAAGTCGTGAGGACCAGGCCCACATACAGAGATCTGATTAAATTGTTCTAGGGTAGAAACTGGTCATTAATAATTACAAAATATTTTCTGAAGAGGCTCCAATACTCATGGAGGATGCAAACTACTGGTATGATGGTTCAGAAAGCCAACTCAGAAGTCAGATTGCTTTAGTTCAGATCAGGAATCAGCAAACTATGGCCCACATGCCAATTCTAGCCAGCTGTCCATTTTTATAAGTAAAGTTGTATTGAACACAGCCTTATACATTTGTTTCAGTGTTATCTATCTATGGCTGCTGTCTCCCTACAAATGCAGAGTAGAGTCACTGCAACAGAGACAGTATAATCCACAAAGTCAAATATATTTACTAACTAACTAGCCCTTTACAGTTTGCTGCCCTTTGGTTTAAATCCTGGATCCACTGCTTACATGTCTTGTGTTCCTAAATGAGCTAATATGTAGTTGTGTGCTAGTAAATGTTTAATAACCAGTTCCTAGAGAGTTAAGGAGGATGGAAGCCCTGATTTGCAGAGTTTGCCAATTTCTATGGTGTAAGTACTTACACTGTTGCCAATTTAAACCTACTGACAAGAATTAATAATACATTTATATTAGTAATAAAATAATATTTGTGAGATTTATTCAAGTTGTTACATATATAAATAGTGAATTATTTTTTATTGTTGAGTGATGTTCTATTTATGAATATACCACAATATATTCATTCTCCTAAATTTTTCCAGTGCTTTATTATTATGAATATAGAGGTTGGAAACATATCTGTGCAATATTTCTGGAGACATATATGTTAATTCATTTGGGTAAATACATAGGCATGGAATTGCTGGATCAGGGTATAGACATATGTTTAACAATATTAGAAAATAAGCTGTCACAATGCAAAGGAATTTATAGGCCAAATGCAAAAGCTCTGTCAAAATTGTCCTACCCTTTGAAAGCATATACTATTTTAAAATAAAAACTTTTAAAAATATATAAGTAAAATTCCATATAGAATTTTGTAGTGTATAATTTGAAATCATAGACAATAAAATTTTAAAACTTTGTAAAAATTTTAAAATTAAAGGATATTGAATAATATAATCAATGTATCCATTATCTAAATAAGATTAAAGGCAAAATAATTGAATGATCAAACAGCTAGTGAGAGATCTCTCTAGATGTTCTTTCCAGATTTTTAGATTTTAAATTTTAAAAAATTCACATATTCCAAAATATGTGTCACATCTATACTCATTACGATAATATTTTATTTATATGTTGTATATCTTATACTAGTGTTTGTAAGTCCTATTTTTAGCAAATTGTCAAAATAAGTATGCTTATATGAACATTTCTAAATGTACAATCCATTCACTATAGTAATTTTAAAAGGACTTAATTTTGAGAAATTAAACATTCTCATTAGTGTTGTTCACTCCACCACTGTGCTCAATCCAAAAACAGTTCAATAATTTTTCTCTGTCTTTCACATTATTTAGTTTCACAATAAATCTGGTGTAGTAAGTGTAATAAAGAGGTTTATTTAGTAAGCATGTTAGAGAAGTTGTTCTGGGTTTACATCCAGTTAAACTTATTCTATCAAAAAATCGTAAGAGGCTGGGCATGGTGTCTCACGCTTGTAATCCCAGAACTTTGGGAGGCTGAGACAGGCGGATTACTTGAGGCCAGGAATTCAAGACCAGCCTGGAATTCAAGACCATTGCAAAATCTAGTCTCTACCAAAAAAAATACCAGAATTAGCTGGCCATGGTGACACAGGCCTGTGATCCTGGCTACTCAGGATGCTGAGGTATGAAGGTATAAGAATCACTTGAACCCAGGAGGCAGAGGTTGCAGTGAGCCAAGATTGTGCCACTACACTCTAGCCTGGGTGACAGAGCAAGACTCTGTCCAAAAAAAAAAAAAAAAAAAAACGTAAGATTTCTCAGTCAGAAGACTAGATTTAGATTTTGAGATTGGAGGGAAAAAATGTGTTATTAAAAATTATATCCTAATAAAAATTTTAATTGCCTTTTGAGCCCATCATTAAGAAACTCATCTTCACATAACGGTGCTCTAGAATCTTTAAACTCTACACAAAACTGTTGCACTTTCAAAGTTTACCTTTTATTAAGTCAAAGAAAGAAAGGAAAAAATAAAAAGATGCAATTTTTTGGAAAGAGATTGACTACTATAATATTTTAAAATATTTACTGGGGAAATACTCATGAGAAATTGCTCTACTGGAATTTATTTTTCTCCTCAAGAATGCAGGAGTTCAGAAGAGGAAAAACTATTTACAAAGCTAAGAAATACAGAAAAAGGACAAGAATGTTGAAAAGGCAGACTCAAATGGAAATAAAGCTAAAACAAGTTCATATGTGCCAATACTGAGAAGAGATAATCCTGACTTTTAGGCCATATATCTAAAGACTTGTGATATGTCTTTTAGATAACAAATCTATAAAACTACCCTAAACAAATATTTTAAAATGGAACCTGAAATAGTCTATGTTCAAGGGAACATAATTTTTTATATGATGTTTACTCTATTTTGTTCTTTGAATAATGCATTTAGAAGTGAGACTGAATATAAAACATAGAGAACAACAAAGGTAAAAGTTCTAAGAACGAGGTCTATGAAAATTCGCAAATTGTTCAGCAAAGTGAGGAAAGCTGTCATATAATTACACAGCAAGAGACAAAACAGAGAACAGTAAAAATGCAAAAATAAACTCATGGGCGAAAACTCATGAAATTTCATTTGTAAGAACAAATACTAGCTGGAGTAAAATACATCTGGATATTTTGGTGGCTTAATTAAGTCACTGAGTTAATTTCTGACTCATATCACATTCCAGTGCAATTTTGGGGGATATTGCACTATGCAGTGTTTCAGTAACCCAGGAGGTTTTCTTCCTGTTCTGTCACCATTCTGAAGATCTACATACTTCCTTAATGGCTAGCAGGAAACAAAAAAAAAAAAAAAAAAAGAGAGAGTAGATGGAGGGAGGAGGCGCAAAGAATGAAGGGACAGTCTGGAAGGAACATACATGAATTCCATCCACGTACCATTGGCCAGAATTCAGTCAGGTGGCTCCATTTCAATACAAGGTTTCAGAGAAATACAGTTTAGCTAGTTGCCCGGAGGAAAGAGAAATGAAGTTTGGTGAAAACCTAGAGTTATCTCTGACTCAGACCATTGTTATTGTCATTGAATATGCTTGTTATTCCTCCCCTTGAAGAAATTGCAAAGTTTCATCTGTGATTCCTCATGATTCAGTGACTTGTCAATTAAAAAAAAATAAGTATCTGCCCTCCAACTCTTCCTCCTGCCCCTGTCATCAACCCAATATATAGCAGTGGAACAAATGTAGAATAACCTCAATGAACGGAAAAAAAATGCATCAGTCAGTAGTCTGCAGTGATACTGACTGACATAGACTGATAGTGATACCGGCTAACATTGAGGAGGCCCTCCAACATGGAGATGTAGGAAGATCCCTGATGATTCTGCATGCTGAGAGAAATGCCTTCGTCACTGCTCTCTATGGTCCATAACTCTGACCCAAGGTGGATCCTTCTTACCTGAAATCTTCATGGTCACACCTGAAAGGCTTTAGGAAATTACACCCATCCTTAAGGACTATAGGGCTCCTCCTGCCTTCTTCCCACAGGGAATGGTTTTAAAGCTTGCAATGCATTTTTTGTTTTTTGTTTGTTTGCTAGTCAATGTTTACACATTTCCTGGGAAACACAGTTATCTCAAAAACTTAGTAGGCCCCTGATGTAATTGCTTCCAATCGGCTCTATAACCTGGTAACCACATTCAAGTTTCTTTCATTAAGTATAATTCTCAAATATTCTTTATTCCTTTGCTTCATTACTCCATTCAGATGCCCATCTCTTTCAATTTAATGGTGACTACCTTGAGACTATCTGAAACAATAATCTTCAGTTAGAATGTAACACTATTGATCTAATTTGCTGCAGAGCTGAGTCACAGTTCAACTGAGTAATCTCCTTGGGCCTTCATAGCTCAGAGCTTTTTGAAAATCACAACCCTGACTATCTGTGATCTGGAAACTTTTATGGCACTGAAAACCCTTGAATTTCTGGACACTATTTCCTTTCACCTCTGCTTGCAAATTGGCATAATCCTTCCTGAGCTCACTTGGATTTTGTAATATCTTGCCAATGACAGGCAATAGTAGCCAACACACATTTATGTTCTGATTATTATTATCCATTTCTCATAGATCTACTAGCATAAGAAGGCATAAAGTCTGATTTCCAAGTTATTGTAGAAAATGCTTTCACCAAATATAATGCAGATAAACATACTGCCTGCCTCTGGTATTGGTTTTGGTGCAACTTATCACACCACAGCTAAACATGCCATATATTTTAGGTTTTATTATAACATCATCCCACTGCCAGTACTAATTTCTGCATTGAAGTAAATGCTAGCTGCAGAAATTTAAAAAAACCATAAACTTAATCTTAAATTAAGTTTCTCACTCATATTGCAATCCAACATGAATAAGCACAGGGCTGTGGGAAGGGACAGATAAAGGACATTCTGCTCTCTTCAATTATTAAGAGATGTAGGCTCCCTTTATCTTGCATGTCCATTATGCTCTTGGGAAAGGATCAGCAAATTTTCCTTAAAGCACCAGATAGTAAATATGTTAGTCTTTGTGGACATACAGTTTCAGCCTTACTATACAACTCAGCCATTGTAGCAAGAAACCAGCATTAATGAATGAACATGCATCTGTTTTAATGAAACATTACAAAAATACACTTATAATACAGTCTCAAATTTAAATCCAATAAAACATTTAGGCTAGCTAGATTTAGCCCATGGACAGTTCTACTCCAGGGCCTCAGAGACTTCTATTAAATTTTCTGCATCTGTCTAGCAGGCAAAGAAACAAGTATTGCATGGAATATTTCATGAGAGATTTCTCGGGGCCAGGTCTAGAAGTGGCGTATATCTTTTAGATCCATATTCGATTAGCCTTAATTCAGTATAATTGTTACCTAACTACATGCAAGATAGGGCAATGTCATATGCCATGTATTCAAAAGAAAAAGGAAATAGTGCAGAATGAGCATAATTCTGCTATGTAAGTATAAAAAGAAAATATTAACATCCACTAATATACCTTGGAATAATTGTAATTTTTAACATTTGAATAAATGACCAAAGAAAGCAACATTAGATTGTTACTTGTGCAATTCCTGCCTCACAGCTCATTCTGGGTATGTTTCTGCTTTTTGTTACATGTCATCTCTCCCTCAAAAATAAAAAAGAATACGATGTAAATTTATGTTTCTAGATACCATGTTTAGTGTTTTTTTATATGGTCCTATGTCACTAGCAGCATTCCTGTGATGTAGATATGACTGTTACTATTATGTAGAGGAAACTTTAGCTCAAAGAAGTTTAATGACTTGCACAAAATCAAAGCTAGTGATACAGCCAGTTAAGTTGCCTTTCCATAATTTTAAATCTAGTCCTCTTTACATTAACCCATGAAGAACTTCTGTGAAAGTAAAAAGCATGTTTCTGCTGTTCCCCATGGTTTTACACAGCTAGGGCTTCTATTTTAATAGAGGAGATAATGAACTGTTGCAGATACTTACCATCAAGTGTTTTCATTCAAATATATTTCTTCAAAAATAAATGAGAGAAGTCTGTTCATTTGGGAAATAAAAAAATGAATACTTCAAAAGAAGTATTTTAGTTTGGTTTGTATAAAAAACCAAAGAAATTTCTCTGTTATTCCAAGACTTTTTCCTTCTGAATTACTGTTCATTTGAATCCACTGTTCCTTCATAGTCAAATGACATCTTTGGGATTGCCTCCTAGGTAAAACCTTGCCTTATGAAAATCTGGTATTTCTATCAACTTTTCAAATATTTTTCCAAAAGTACTGAGTTCTAACAATGTCCATGGTGCAAGTTATAAAAGGGTGCATTGACCTCTGGATGGCACAGCTTGTTAGACAGAAAAATGACTGGGTTCTTAGTCACCAGCTGCCACTTTGGCCAGTCACTGTTAGGCAGTGATGTGGGCTCAATGGTGGCCTTTTAAAGTAGCAGGTTGTAGTCCCTGGATTTCCTGAATGTTATCTTACGTGGAAAGTTTTGCAGATGTAGTAAAACCAGGTTTCTAGATGAGGAGACTGCCCTGAATTACCTGGGTGGGCCCTAAATGCCATTGCAGGTATCATTATAAGTGGAAGGCAGAAGGAATTAGGCAAACACAGACAGAGGAAAAAACAACGTAAATACAGAGGTAAAGATTGGAGTGATGTGGCCACAAGTCATGGAATACTAGTGGCCACCAATATCTAGAAGATGCAAGGAATGGACTCTATCCCAGAACCTTCCAAGGGAATGTAGCCTTGCTGATTTAATTTCTGATGTTTTAAGCCACCAGGTTTGTGGCAACTTGTTACAGCAGTCACAGGAAACTCATACAGGTAATATCCTAATTCTGGAACAATTTCCACTCCGCAAAAGCAGTGTAAGAGACAGAAACATCTTCTCTCTTGAGAAAGTATCAGTTTGCCCTCAAAAAGCATTCCACTTCCTTAATCTGTGTGTTAACCAATCATAATTTTTAATGTTTTTCTTGGTTACTCTTTAATGTTATGAATAAATTTCTCCTCCCAATTTCTCTTTAATATTATGAACAAAACAATATTCTGTCATGTCACCACCTATTGTTTATACATTTTATCAAAATCAATCCAATCATCAAACTAGAATTTTCCAATTATTAAATTTCTTCATTCCATCTATGTCCCCAATTTTTAATTTCTGCCTTTGTCTTATCATCTACTTTCCTCCCTAGTCAGTTGATCAAGTTCTTTCTTACTGATTTCTAAGCTTTATTTCCCATATTCCCTAGTTTTAGAAAAGGTTTTTCATCACTTTTGTACAACAAAACACTCCAAATGTAGATCCCAGCTTATATTCCCAAAATGCTTCTCTTAAGCTAGAAAAAAAACCTTTCAGATCTAGGCAAACTGAAATTCCCATGTGAAGCCAGAAATAATCTGTGTATGTACGTAAAACAATAAGCATTATCAAATGTAGAAAGTTGCTGAGTCAGAAGGGATCCACTTAAAATTGCCCTCTAAATGTCAACTTGGTAAAAAGTTAACATGTAAATTGTACTTCATTATCAGAGTACAGAAAGCAGAATAAAGAATCATCAGAAGACAGAAGGGAGATAATCCAATTTTTAATTTATCTCTGGATTTTTCCTTTCTGTCTCTCTGCCACTCTTCTTCTACTCTGTTTTCTCTTATGTCTCCACAGCTCTTATTACAGCTCTTATTTCCTCACAATTAACAAGGAATAAAACTAGGTCACTTAAAAATACAAAGATATCAGAGGTATAGAGAGAATAGGGAAGAAATAAGGAAACTAGTAGCCAGTATTTATTTTTTATTGCTTCTCCTTTTTTCTTAGTATCAGATCTGTACTTCTTCGATAAAAATAAATGCATTCCAAAGAATCGATGTTTATATCTTAACTCTTAATCTCAATATTTATGTACCCACCTATACATACATTATACATGCATGTTTTGCATCACTAAGTAATACGTATTATAAACAGTCCTCAGGTAGTCTGAAGAAACAGAAAATGAGATCAAAATATTCATGCAAGAATTGACATAGAGATATGCAACAATAGGTGCTGTGCTGTTGCTAAAGATAGTGAGAAATTTAGTTCTCAGTTTCTACCAGGGAATGTGAAGGGTCAGAGATTTTACCCTGCTTGCAGTCTCATAAATTGGTCTGCAACAATTTTATGGACATTGGCAGAAAACAACACAACAAGCAGCATGAGCTTCATTTTAGTATCTATCCACTTTGTCCTCCCAATCTCATCGGGTCAACACAGACTAAGCCAGATGAATGTTTCAGGTGGGTTGCATACACTAGTTTTGCTCATTCCTAAGAAAACTATCAAGCTCGGAAAATCCCAAGGTGTCATAATAGAAAGCAAGCAAATCTGCTTTACATTTACCCTAGAGAGACACATTATCTCCATTATTTTGGACAGAAAAGAGATCTGCCCTTTGCTTCAAATGTTGCATTATTTTTATTGTTGTATTGTTATTTTCTATTGTTTTCATTTTTGAATATTTTCTATCCACAGTTCAATCCCTGGATGCAGAAACCATGGATATGGTGGGTCCAGTGTATTTTGACGTATATACCATCATCCCTTGGTATTTGTGGAAGATTGAGTTCAGGACTCCCATGTAAAACAAATCCATGCCTATTCAAGTCCTGCAGTCGGCCCTGCAGAACACCCGAATATGAAAAGCCAGCCCTCCATATATTTCAGTTTTGCATTCCATGAATACTGTATTTTCCATCTGCATTTGGTGAAAAAAAAAACCCACTTATAAGTAGATCACAGTTCAAATCTGTGCTGTCCAAGGGACAATTGTATTATCAAGATAAAGGAATTAAGGGTTCAAACATAATACTTCATTTTTAGACTTGTATATTTTTCTGATATTGCAGAAATTTCACATTGGAATATTTGGTTGATTAGCTTTCTCCAAGCCCACAATGGAGAAATGTGGCTATGGCATCTGTAATGCCATTGCCTTGAGTCCAGAAAATGCTGGTGGCTCCCACAGCCTCGAAAATGTTTTGTGAAAAAATGGAAAGGTAGTTTGAAGACAAGTTCAGTTAAGCCAACAAGTAGTAAAGGAATGGTATTCAGAAAAGAGTAACATCTTCAGCCTTAACTTAAACTTTTTAAATTTTGTTTTCAAATCTAATGGACTATTTATTTCAAGTTATCAGTGATACTTAGCTCTGAACATCTTGAATTTTGTTCTACTATGGTTTTATGTATTAATGTGTAAAATACATAAAAAGCAACTATCACATGACTGTTACTTTACCAGCAACTACTTGGTGAATTTTAGTTCATGAAGCTTAGAAACTAATATAGTCTATTGTCAAGCCAGTAAGTCCATTACTGTTCTGACATCACAATGACTACAGACTGCTGTGGACATTTGCTTTGACAAATTTATGCTTCATCCATTATTTTATTTTGGTTTCTGTACATGCAATAGAAGCCTTTTTCATAGAAGAGAGAAAAGTAAGAAAAAATGTCTCCCATAAAATTAATGAGATTCTGTATACATACATATACATATATTCTATGAGAAAATATATTTTCTATATGAGAATATATTCTCCATATAGTCCATGATAATTTTGTTCTACTTTTTCCCAATCTTATATTTCTATACATGTAAATATAGACATCAATTACCTTTTCCTCTTACAATGGTAAGTCTTTTTAAATTATTGCATAAAACTTTATACAATGGCTGTATTATGATATATTTAAATAATTTTCTATCCTTAAACATATTTTTTCTATTTTTATTGTTATGAATGTTACTATTTAAAAATTATGCACAGACATCTCATTGTATAGAGTTTGTGTTGACAATTATTCCATAGTATCAAATTTCAGAGCTGGAATTACTGTATTAAAGTTAAAAAAATGTGACCGGGCGCGGTGGCTCACGCCTGTAATCCCAGCACTTTGGGAGGCCGAGGCGGGCGGATCACAAGGTCAGGAGATCGAGACCATCCTGGCTAACACGGTGAAACCCCGTCTCTACTAAAAATACAAAAAATTAGCCTGGCAAGGTGGCGGGCGCCTGTAGTCCCAGCTACTCGGGAGGCTGAGGCAGGAGAATGGCGTGAACCCCAGGGGGCAGAGCTTGAAGTGAGCCGAGATCACGCCACTGCACTCTAGCCTGGGCGATAGCGAGACTCCGTCTCAAAAAAAAAAAAAAAAAAAAAAAAAAAAAGTTAAAAAAATGTATCATAAAATTATCAGAAGTTGCCCTTATATATTCTTTCTTTTTCCTCTAGACTCATCATCCACACACATTAATTTTCAGGGTCACTATCCTACATTAAGATCAAGAAGGATACACAGTTCCCTCCACTAGCTGGAAGAAATCATTCAAATAATAAACTCTTGAAGAATTTTTTTTATTTGATGATGGAAGAAAATTATTTTCCAGAAAGGATTTTTGTGTTTTAGCTTATTGTAGTTTTAATTTCCATAATTGGCTAGAAGTTAAGTATTATTAACCTGATTTTATAAATAAAGAAATTGTGTCTCAGAAAGGTTAGGTATTTTATCTAAGGCTGTATCTAGTGAGTGACAGAGTTTGAATTCAAACCCAATTCTGTTTGACATCCTACTGCACTACTTTCTTTACAAAAATATTGAAGACCCAAAGTATACTCCTTCCTAAAATGAAGTTTTAGGCACCTATAAAAGATATTTTCATGAGAGGAGTTATTCCTAGCAATCCTCAAATCTCACCTTTACACAACTATTTTTTTCTGGTGAATTATAATGCTGGGACTGTCAAAGATTTTGATGATAAATCACATTACAACCATCTCTTGCTCCAAGGTTATCATGGGATCAACCTATTTTATTTAATCCATTCTTAAACCTTTATAGTTGAATCTATTTTAAAATGTCTGCAAATTTCCCATTTAACTACATATAAAAGCAGGTTTCTCCGAAATTATTTTCAGTTATATTACATAGAGCATTCTAATCTTGCCCCTTATTATCTGTACATTTTCACCTAGCCAAAAAGGGTATAAAAACTTGCGTTTATTTCCATTAAACTATATTTTCTTGGAAATGTTTCCAAAAATATTACAGTAGGAAAGTATTGTATAATGTTAACTCAATAGTTAGTAACATTTATTTGGGAAAAAAAATGCCCCAAATTGGCTCCATATGATCAATCTCAGTGATTAGTGTATGCCACTGGCCCCAGAAGATCTAACACATGAATAAGAGAAACAGTTTTGTAATCTATCTAAATTTGCCATTTAAAAAGGTTAATAGATTTGCTTCTATGAATTCACTTTTGACACCTTTGTTTTTGTGATTTGCACCTAGCAAATTGTGAGGTTTACCCTTGTGCATTTGAATCTGGTGAGAAAAACAACAAATACAATACTCCCTTATTTTATCTGCCACCTTATGTAAACCTCTGTTCCTAACATCAAATTCACTGAAAAATCCTTATGAAAGAGAAATTAAGGTATAATTTTGAAAATCTACCAAAAGAATAATATACTTTAATATTATAATTTATAGTTACAACGGACAATTTTAGGTATTTTTACTGAGTAACTCAACATAGAAAAATATTTTTAAAATACGCAAGAATCAAGTTGTATGGACATTATAATGTTTCTTATTTTTGAAAATTGACAACTTTGTTTTAGTTTGTGAGCTCCTCAATAGAACAAGCTATTGTTAACTTCAAAGTTTTAGCTCTAGGAAGCTATATGAGCTATCTCAAACAATAGACCTAACTTCCATGCATGGCAGGTACCCATTTAAATTAATACATGAAGTTAATAATAGTATTATTATTATGTAATAATAAGAAGAAAAATTTTATTAGTATTAAGATCAATGGAAGAAACCAGGTAGGAATGTCATCAAAATGTCAGAATAGACAGTATCCTGCTTATATCCACCAAATAAGACCTGCACCCATTCACAGTCAAGTCTCTCTGCAAGAGCCTCAGGATTTAATAGAAGTTTTTGAAAAATCTCAATGGAGCCCAACACCTAGGAAGGTCATTTTGAGAGTGCAGACAACCAGGTGGCTGATCCATGAAGCTTGCTCCCGGGTTCAAGCCCAGAAATGGCCCAGTTCTCCAAGGGGGTTTGCTATAGCTCCATTTGGCCTTGAGACTGCATTCAAAGCCATCTGTCAAGGGGTGCAAAAGGAATCATGCACACTAGTGCCTTGGAGGAAAGGCTCATTTGTTCACTGACATTAGTCTCAGCAGTGAACCTGAAGCTTCCTCTGGGGTTTAGCTCTAGCTCTCCTCAGCTGAGGTGTCAGCTTAGAGATGCTCATGCAAGGACACAGAGGAAGCCTCACTTGTATCTTACAGGCCAGGAGTCAGAGCCTCCCTGAAGGGCTCGCCTACCTCTGTCCCATAGCAGATTCCATGGGGACCCAGTCTCCTCTCTGTCCCCTTCTACTGAAGACAGGGAACTATCTTGTCTGCCCAGGAACTTGCTGGGAGATGCTATCTCCTCTGAGCCAACAAGGCTGGGTTCTTCAGCCTCTGCCCCACAGCAGATCCTATGGGTGACTAGCCTCAGCTCCAGCAAATCCTGATGCAGCTGAGGAACTAACCCATCTGGGCAGGGTTCTCCTGGGAGACATGTGCTACTCTGAACCAATGAGACCATGCTCCCCAGACACCATTCCCCAGCCTCAGCTCCAGCCCTACTATTGCAGTCGGAGAACTATCCCATCCATGCTGAGACCTCTGGGAGGTACATACTTCTATGAGCCAAGAAGATAGGCTCTCCAGCCTCTGTCCCACAGGAGATCTTTAGGAGACCCAGTCTCAGCTTTGGCACTTCCCACTACAATCAGGGATTATCCTGTCTGTGCAGAAACTTGCTGAAAGACATGCATCATTTTGAGCCAGTGAGACTGGGCTCTCTAGCCTCTGCTCCACGGCAGATCCAGAGGGGGCCAGGTCTCCACTCTGGCACCTCCCAGTGCACTCTGGGAACTGTCCCATCTGTGCTAAGGCTTGCTGGGAGATGCATGCCTATCTGAGCCAATGAGATGGACATTCCAGTATCTGTCCTATAGCAGATTCCAAGGGGGTCCAGTTTCTGTTCCAGCTCCTCCTGATGCAATCAATGAACTATCTTATCTGTGCAGAAAATTGTTGGACAATGCACATATCTCTGAGCTGTGACCAGGCTCTCCAACCTATGTCTAGCAGCAGATCCTCGGGTGACCAGTCTCATCTCTAGCCCCTCCTGTTGTAGTTGAGAAACTACCCACTTGTTCAGGCACCTGCTGAATGATGCACATTGAGGGAGCTGCTGAAAGAAAGAATCATCAGGGCAACTGGGACAGTATTCTGGACTCAAGTCTCTGGCCAGCATTCTTGTAAAGCCCCAGTAGCCTCCCTGGGACTTCCCCAGGTACATTTGGGCCAGAAAGCCACATCAACCTTAATGTCCTCATGAGACTGTAAAAATGCATGGAAATTAAATAACATGCTCCTAAATGAAAAATGGGCCAATGAAGATATTAAGAAGAAAATTAAAACATTCTTTAAACTAATGAAAATAAAAACACAATGTATCAGAACACATGGAATATAGCAAAAGCAGTGCTAAGAAGGAAGTTTATAGCAGAAAATGCCTACATCAAAAAAACAGAAAGACTAAAAATAACCTACTGATGCAACTCATAGCGATAGAAAAGCAAGAATAAACCAAGCCCGAAATTAGTAGAAGAAAATAAATAATAAAAATCAGAACATAAATAAATTAAATTGAGACAAAAATTCAAAATCCAATAAAATAAAAAGAGTTTTATGTGTGTGTGAGAGAAACAGAGAGATGGAGTCTCGCTCTGTTGCCCAGATTGGAGTGCAAAGGCCCAATAGCAGTTCACTGTAACCTCTGCCTCCCAGGTTGAAGCAATTCTCCTGCCTCAGTCTCCTGAGTAGCTGGGACTACAGGTACACCACCACATCAGCTAATTTTTGTACTTTTTAGTAGAGACAGGGTTTCACCATTTGGCCAGGCTTGTCTCAAACTCCTGACTTCAAGTGATCCACCCACCTTGACCTCCCAAAGTGTTGAGATTTCAGGCGTGAGCCACCATGCCTGAGCAGTTATTTTTTTTAAAGGTAAACAAAATTGATGAATAAACTGATAAAATCGACAAGAAAAATAAGACCCAAATAAAATCAGTGAGAAAAAAGGAAACATTACAACTGATACAGAAATAGAAAGGGATCATTTGGTATTTTTGTAGAGACTAATATGAGCAACCATATGCCTAACATGAGCAACCATATGCCAAGGAATTGGAAAACCTAGAATAAATAGATAAATTCCTGGATACATACAGCCTACCAAGATAGAATCTTAAGTTAATAGAAAATCTAAATAGACCAATAATAAGCAATGAGATCAAAGCTGTAATTTAAAAAATCTGTCAAATAAAAGCCCAGGACCAAATGTCTTCACTGCTGAATTTTATTAAACATTTAAAGAAGAAATAATATTAATTCTACTCAAACAATTTCAAAAAATTAAATAAGAGAATATAATTCCAATCTCATTACACAAGGTCAGCACTATCTTGGTATCGAAAGCAAATAACGACACAACAAAGAAAGAAATATCCCTGATGAACATAGATGCAAAATTACTCAACACATTACTAGCAAACTGAATTCAACAACACATTAAAAAATCACTTATTATAATCAAGTAAGATTTATCTCAGGGATGTAAAAATGATTCAACATATTAAGTCAATAATTGTGACAGTTCAACAGAATTGAGGATAAAGCCATATGATCATTTCAATAGAGGCTAAAAAAGCATTCAGTAGAATTTAACATCCCATCATGATGAAAACTCAAAAATTTGGGTATATAAAAAACATACCTTAACACAGTAAAGGCTATATATGACAAAACCATGGCTAATATCATACTAAGCAGGAAAAAATTAAAATATTTTTCACTAAGCTCTGGAACAAAATCAGGATTCTCATTTTCACCACTTCTATTTAACATAGTTCTGGAAGTCCTACTGAGAGAAATTAGATGAAAAAATAAAAGGTATCCACATGGGAAAGGAAGATGTCCAAGTATCCTTATTTGCAGATGTCATGATCTTATATTTAGAATAAACTAGATTTCACCACAAAATTCTTAGAACCAGAAAATGAATTTAGTAAAGTAGCAGGATACAAACCATCAACATACAAAAATTAGTAATGTTTCTCTAAACTAACAGTGATCAATATTAAAAAGAAATCCCATTTATAATAGCTACAAAAAAACTTGCATAAATTTAACCAAATAAGTGAAAATTGCTATAAGAAAAACTGAAATGTTAATGAAAAAAATTGAAAGAGATAAATATTCCACAAAGCTATAGTAACTAAAGCAGCGTGCTACTGACATAAAAAGAGATATTTTGATCAATGGAACAGAATAGAGAATCCAGCAATAAATCCATACTTGTTCCTAACTCATTGTTTTGTATGTTCTTGGTGCAGGAAAAGACAGATTATTTATAAAATGATGCTTCAAAAACTGGGTATCCATAGGCAAAATAATAAAATTGGATCCTCATCTCTGACTATATACAAAAATCAACCAAAAAATTTTAAAGATAGAAATGTAAGACCTAAAACTGTGAAACTACTGAAAGAAAACATTGGGGAAATGCTATAGGACATTGGTCTTGGCAACAATTTTTGGAGTAAGACCTCAGAAGCACAGCCAACAAAAGCAAAAATAAACAGATGGAATTTACAAGGTAAAAAGCTCCTGCACAGGAAACATTCAACAAAATATAAAGACAGACTACCAAATGGAAGAAAATATTTGCAAACTATCCATCTAACCAGGGATTAGTAACCAGAATATATAAGTAATACAAACTACTCAACAGGAAGAAAAATAATCTGATGACAAAAAAATCATGAAGGACCTGAATAGACATTTTGATGGCTGCAGTGGTCCATCTGGAATGGCCTCTGTGAAGACACTGGCTGCAGCAGGAAGGCACTGCAGTAGCGACATGCTCCATGGAGCTGACAGAAACTGGAATCAGGCAGAAGCCCCACCTGCTTCTGAGTTGTGGGGTGGGAGCCCTGCCTTCCTGGACACAGCTGCAACCACCTGTCTATGACTGTGGACCTGGGCATCTCTGTGATCTCAGGGGCCTAGGAAGCCCCCTACCCCCACAGGGTTGGAGGTGCCTGCTTCTGCTGCCTGGCCCCTCCCTGCTCCCAGTGCCTGCTCCAATTTTGGAGTAAAATTGAGGATGAGCCTGGATGCTGTTGCAACCTGGCTGGGTGTGTGCATGCTCAGGGCAGCACTGACACGCCAGACCCCTGCCATTTCAGAATCTTCTGGACTTTGGGCACCAATGAGCAAGGGAGGGAAGCTGAGTGGGGACTAAAGGCAACTCAGCATGGGCCTGCAGGTGCCACTCAGCACAAGCAGCCGGGGTGCCATGAGCACCGTGGATGGCAGGTTGATAATGGCAGGAGGCAGACAGGCTCCTGGGCATATAGGGGTGTATACCCAATGATGCCGCACCACCAAACCGGGGACAGCCTGAAGCATGGGGCTAGGCTATAAGTTCCTGGTAGAGTCTGTGGCCCGGAGTGAGAACTTATGATGCTTTTTCCAGGGCCGCCCATGGCCTCCCAGGAACCAATCAATATGCACTTTATCCCTTCTGAAGCTCATAAAATCCCTGGCCTCAACCAGACTTGGGCAGACATCGGGATTACCTGCCTGTGAATAGGAGCTACCCACTCCGGGTCTCCTCTCTGCTGAGGGCTGCAGATGTCAGGCAACCTGCCTGTGGATAGAAGCTACTGACCTAGGGCCTCCTGAGAGCTGTAATGTTGATCAATAAAGCACCTCTTCATCTTACCTTCAAGTTGTCTGCATACTTCATTTTTCCTGGATGTGGGACAAGAACTTGGGACCTGCCAAATGGCAGAACTAAAAGAGCTGTAACACAAACAAGACTGAAGCACACCCACCCACTGGCCACATTGTGAGCAATGAACAGTAACCAGAATATAAGTAACTCAGACAACTCAATAGGAAAAAAATAATAATCTGAGGACAAAAAATGATGAAGGATCTGAATAGACATTTTGATTGCAGCAGTGGCCCATCTGAAGTGACCACTGCGAGGACACTGGCTGCAGTGGGGGAAGCACTGCAGGAACAACATGCTTCATGAAGCTGGCCAGAATAGGACTACTGACTTAGGGTCTCCTTAGAGCTGTACTGTCACTCAACAGCAAACAGTGAGAAGGAGAGAAGAGCTGCAGCCCTTTGGGGACTGCAGACCTAATGGCTTCCTGAGCCAGGACAGTGATATCCTCTTGGAGGCTCTGCAGTTCCTGGCATCTCCCAGCTTCCAGGCACCACCTTGTTCCCTGGAGCCCACAGTGGAAGCCGCTTGTGATATGCCTGGTCAAGCTGCAGCCTCACACAGAGCCGGCACCTGTACTGGTGCCTGGTACTGCCCACCCCGTTGCAGCAGCTGGCGTTCCTGGCTGTGCACAGTGGTTGGACCCCGTGCTTGCTAACTCACACATCCCTCATCGCACTGTTGGCAGGTGTGGGATCCGGGCTAGCAGCACGAATCAAGAACAGCCTGACAGGCCGAGTGGGCAGAATGAGTCCAGTGGGCCCAAGCAAAACTTAGGTGAAGGCACCACCAGCCACAGTGGCTTCTAGCTGGAAGAGCAACACCCCAGGGATCCTGTGACATTTTTTATGGGTTCATCTGGGATCGGCAAAAGTGTGAGTAAAAGTGGACTTGCTGCTTTCTGTTCTTTTTTCAAAGTCCCTAAACTCCACAATAGCCAAAATGAAAGAAAAACATGGGCCTCTGTCCAGTTAAAAGTGACTAGAGTGGCTGCTGGACTTAAGACACAGAGGATAGGTTTGCTGGTGAGGACAATGCCAATTCTCCATCACACTTGGGTATTGGGAATGTTGGCTTTGTTCCAATTCAGTTTTCCTTCATGGAGGCCTAGCCATCACGTGGGATCAGAAGGAGGTCCTGGGGCAACTGAGGGTGTCTGGCCAAGTTTACACCTCAGTGTTATCTAAAGGCCCCTCAACTAACTGTACATCCTGACCACAATAGAACACCCAGTCTTTCCAATTGCTCTTCATTTTTTTCTTTCAAGGCTGCCATTTTCTATCCTCTTCTTTACATACAATGTTAAGGGTGTCGTTGGAAACCACAGAAATAATATTACTGGGTAAAATAAGCATTTGGCTTAGTCATCAGGAGTGTAAATCAGAACAATGTGGTGTCTGTCTATTCTTAGAAGCAAGGAGGATGTAACAACTGAGAGTTTTCTTTCCCCTTGAAGGAACCCATTTGCATAGGTCAAGAGGCTTCAACTGGAGGATGAAAAGCTTCATCTACCAGCTTTCAGCCAATGGAATGTTCTTAAAATCCTCCACCAAGCCTTCCATTTAGGTAAGGATAAAACCTATCAAGTGGCCCAGAGGTTGTTCTCAGGTAAAAATCTGCTAAACATGGGCAAATAAGTCATTAATGCTTGTGAGACATGCCATAAAAATAATCCCCTCAATAGATGGCTTCTCCCCACTGAAACCCAAAGAACAAAAGACAACCTAGGGGAAGACTGACAGATGCATTTCATCCATCTGCCAAAGACAAGGGGCATCCAGCACCTCCTAGTATGGGTAGATCCTTCACTAACTGGGTAGAAGCTTTTCCATGTTGAACGGACAAAGCCTCTGAGGTGATAAAAGTACTGATTAATAAAATAATTCCTTATTTTGGACTTCCTAAGTACATCCAGAATGATAATGCCCCCTTGCTCAAGGCAGCTGTCACCAAAGGGGTCTCAAAGGCACTAGGTATACAACATCATCTTTATTGTGCTTGGACACCACATTCCTCAGGAAAGGTAGAAAAGACAAATAATATTATCAAAAGTCACCTCAGAAAACTGTCTCAAGAGACTCATCTCCCCTGGATTACTCTTCTCCCCATAACCCTATTACATGTTAGAAACACCTCTAAACAGCTGGATTTAAGTCGCTTCAAAATGATTTATGGATGGCCTTGTCTCAACAATGATTTCTTGCTAGACCAAAAAAATCTCTGATTTAATTAACATATAACTTACTTGGCCCATTTCCAACATGAACTGAAACAACTATGGGAGGCCCAATCCCATGAAATGGAGCCACCTCTATTCAACCCAGGGGACTTAGTACTGGTAAAGGCACTTTCTTCCTTTTCTCCCTCTCCAGGCCTGGAATGGGAGGGACTTTACACTATACTTCTTTCTACTCTTATGGCAGTAAAGGTCCCTGAAACACATTCTTGGATTAATTATACTCAAGTAAAGACCTAGAAAACTGATAAAATTATCTCTGTTGACCCAGGAGAGCACCTGAAGTACCAGAGTGAAGAAATCAGGGACTTTAAGCAAAAAAAATCACAAAAGGTAAGTGCTAATAGTTAACCCTCTATGGATACCCTATGCTTAGTGTTCTCGCCTTTGTTCTGTTCCTCACCATAAGGCATTTTTGTCAAGGACCCCTTAATCCTGAACTCTCAAGAGATTATCTACTCCCCTAAATAGTTATTTCTCTTTAAAAGTTTGACTGCCCCATATAAGATATAATTTCTTTCACCAGCGTGAAACAGCAATAGCCACAACATTGTTTTCAGAATGATTAGTCTATTTTACTTCTGTTATCTTTGGCACTAAATTTTTTTCTTCATATATTTAACCTCCTTGTAAAAATTGTTTCTTCTTGCATAGAGGCCATCAAAGTCCAAGCTGTCATCCAACTGGAGCCTCAGATGTTGGCCCCCTTTTTACTGGGGACCCTTAGATAGGCCTCTGAGAGAGATTTGATTGCTGTTTTCCCCAAAACAATGTCCCCTGTCAGCATGAAGCAGTGAAGAGCAGTCATTGTCCTCATCCTAATGGCAGTTAGGTGTACCTCTTCAAAGGTGGGATTGGTGTCTGCAGTGGCCTGTCTAGAGTTGCCATTGCAAAGACACTGGCTGCAGTGGGGGAGGCATGTCCAGAGCTATGCACTGTAAAGAGCTGGTTGGAGCCCTACCCCCTTCTGAGTTGGCAGGGCAGGACACTTGCCCTCCTGGGCACAGCTGCAGCTGCCCAGCCGTGGTCACAGACCTGGGCATCCCTGCACTTTCAGGGTTCCAGGAAGCCACCCTGCCCCCTCAAGCTTGGAAGTGCCTGCTCCCACTGCCTGGCCTCTCCCCGCTTCTGGCACCCACTCCAATTTTGGAGCAAAGTTAAGGCCAAGCTTGGGCACTGTCACACAACTGAGCCAGGTATGCACATGCTCTTGGAGCAGTGCTGACACACCACCCCCCTGTTTCCTAGACCCACTCCAGGTTTTGGGTGCTGACAAGCTCAGGAGGGAGGCCAAGGAGGGCTGAGGGCAGCTTGGTGCAGACATGAAGGTGCCACTCAGCTCAAACAGCCTGGCACTGTGGGCACCATGGACAGCATGTTGATGACAGCAGGAGGCTGACAGGCTCCTGGTTGGAAGGGGGCAGGTCCCAGGTGAAGCCCCACCTTCAAGCCAGGGACAATCTTAAGCATGCCTACCAGGTTGTCAGCTCTGGGTGGAGTCCGTGGCCAAGAGTGAGAAATTATGGTGCTTTTCCAGGCTTGCCCATGGCTGCCCATGGACCAATCAGCATGCACTTTCTCCCTTCTGAAGCCCATAAAAACCCTGAACTCAGCCAGACTCCAGCAGATGTCAGGACAACCTGCCTGCAGATAGGAGCTATCCACTTTGGGTCTCCTGAGAGCTGTATTGTTGTTCAATAAAGCGCCTCTTTGTCTTGCTCACCCTTCAGTTGTCTGCATACCTCATTCTTCCTGAACACAAGACAAGAATTTGAGACCCACCCAATGGCAGGACTAAAAGAGCTGTAACACAAACAGGGCTGAAACACATCTCCCACTCGCCATGTTGTAAGTGATGAGAAGGAGAGTTGAGCTGCCACCCTTTGGGGAGCTCAGACCTACAGGTTTCCCAAGCCAAGGCTGTGACACCCTCTTTGGGGCTCTGCGGTTTTCCTGACTTTTCCAAGTTTCTGAGCACCACTGAATTCCCCGGAGTTCACAGTGGAAGTTGCTTGCAGTACACCTTGTCTAGCCACAGCCTCACACAGGGCCAGGGCCTGTGCCAGTGCCTGGAGTTGCCCATTCCACCAAAATACTAAAACATATTTCTGTTTAGGGGGAAGGCATTCTGTTCATTTCAGCATGCCTAGAAACACAGTTTTGGTACATGGCAGGCTGTAAAATAACAAAATGGCAATAACCAATCCTTAATCATACTTCTGCAGAAGGAGGCATAGTGCTGCACAGAGAACCCTAAATACAGAGCAGTGGGGGTGGGATCCAGTGCCTTCCACAGGAAGCAGAGGCCTTAGTGTTGTTAACAGTGAATGGAGACCAAAACAGATAATAAGGAAACTGTCAAAGACCACATGATAGCTGTCAGAATTTGATCATGGCCATTCAGTGAAATATTCTGAACAAAATAACCTGAACAAATTCTGGGTCCTGCTAGCAGGAAAAATGAGTGAATTGAATTGCGAATAGCTGACAGTGAGGCTTGCCACAGGCAGGTTCTGAAGAGATCTTAGCATGTAAGAAGAGCCTAGACCCAGAGAACAAGTTTAGCAAATCTATTTTAGCAGATCTATTTGTAGCCCACATTTGAAATGGAATGGAGAAGCATGTGTAGAGTGCTATTTAAGCTTAATAGCTATAGATACTACTGTAAGTAAATAAGCACAGGAGAAATAATCTGAAAAATATACCCATAAGCAGAGCAAGAATATAATTGATGTTTATTTTTTCTGTTTTACTGTTACCTAAATAATACTGATTAGTACTATGAAGATAAGAGAATGGTAATGAGTTTTTCCTGACAAGCAGTGTAATTTCTAAAACAAACAAAAAAATTAGGAGTCCATTTTAGAAAACCGCACGTAGGTATTAATGGTTAAGTTAAAAGGCTCTGAAGTCAGGTAATCCCAAGCCTGAATCTCACTTCTGCTACTCACTAAAAGCATTACCTTGGACAAATTTTAGATCTAAGTCTCTCTTTCTTCTTCTGTAAAATAAAAATAATTATGCCAATCTCCTAGATTATTGAATCAATTAAATGAAATAATATACTTAAAGCATTTAACATAGAAGGTGGCTCATATCGAGAACTCAATGAATGAGCACAATATATTATTATTATTATTTTCATATTTATAAACAAATATAAACAAGTTATCCT
This sequence comes from Homo sapiens, assembly GCF_000001405.40. Taxonomy (NCBI): domain Eukaryota; kingdom Metazoa; phylum Chordata; class Mammalia; order Primates; family Hominidae; genus Homo; species Homo sapiens. The sequence goes on along the minus strand of NC_000003.12, from coordinate 161,973,251 downwards.
GGTAGATATTTATCAGTATTATAGAGGAATATTAAAACATTTTAGCTAGGAATTATTTTATTGTTGTACATTGTGATTATCCCTTAGCCTACCTATATTGGTCATTAAGAAAACTTAATGTAAGTATACATGCACACATGCTCATAAATGTGTGCAATTCCAAAGCTGGCAATAAGGGACAGGTTGAGTTCAAGACCTAATTTATAACTGGGCCAGCAGCCTGGATAGTCTCCCATGTACAATTATTTCAACACCTCCTTCAGTTCTTCATCAAATTAATTATAAGGTTAATAATGCTACTTTATTCAAAGGCAAAGAGCCATTGGTTAATATTTGTAAGGCGCTCTGATATATTTTTAAAAGCCTTACTATCCTAAGGAGGAAACAGCTTAATTGTTTTATTCCTATAGTTTTTCATGGCATTTCACTTTGTTCTCAGCTTTATTGGTTTTTCAGAGTCAGCCTGCCAAGGAAGTAGCATTCTAAAATAACTGTTTTTCTTCTTTCATGTGTCAATACCCTCTTCCTAATAATTAGTCACTGTTCACAATACAGAAACAAACAGACATCTATCTGAACCTTAGTATACTGCATATACTATGCAGTATAATAAACGGAAACAACTTAAAAAGGTCCTATGACTTTTACCTCAGGTTAGCAAACAGACAAAGCAAGAATATTATTCCTGAATCTTAGAACTTTTTCAAAAAAGAGCCATGCTTCATTTCATCAGTAAAAGAGAAAAAAATATTTTCTATTTACTGTTTTTATGCACAATCATAGTACAGTGGTTCAAGAGTTCACTGGTTATCAGGCAAATTCAATGTGAGTTTTGTAGAAGCAGCTTCCCTCTATGTACATGACTTGGAATGGGGCACCTACACAGGAAAGTGTATTTTCTCAATCACGGCAGCTTGAATAACTCATGTTTCTTTTAATGAGTTTTTTACGTTGAATGGAGCCTTTTATCATCAGCTTCCTCCACCATTTCACAAGAGAGCTTTCCTTTTTCCCACTGGATTTCAGCATAGGTGAAAGTGGTAACTTAAATGTTTTTAAATTGACTGTCAAAACATGATTTGGTAAAAATCCATTAAAATAATCTCCCTAATGCCCTGATGCATTAAACATTTGCAGGTATGCCTATATTGCAGGCAGGGAATGTGTTTATCTCTATTTTATGAATAGTCTTCAAAGGAAAAAAGGGAGCCTAGAAATTGACAGCTGGTCTAGAATTTCCATATATTTAGTGTATGCTTGCACAAAGCTTTATTCTGTTTTTGTAGATAATAATGTGCCTCCTTAATTAGTTCTGGAAGGCATATATTGTAGACTGAATGTTACCTGGCAAGCATTGAAAAGATGCAAGTTTACATTTTATTTTTCTCTTTGGGGGAATATTCTTTAAGAAATGAAATTCATATATCAGAAAAACTATTCTCTTCATAAAACATTAAAGGATTGCAACAATGAAATCTTTTTTTTTGCCATTCTGTTTAATTAAAATGTAGCTTTGGAAAGCACAAGTACATATAACTTAGAGTAGGTATGAAATTTCTAATAGACAAACTAAAAAGTACTGAGTAAAACAAAATATCAAAGAACTGCTAATAACCTAGGCTCTAGGAAATGGACCCATTAAAATGTTTAGTTGTATATTATGAATACCTCCCAGCCCCATTGTGAATATTTTCACATAATATGATTTCTATATCTAATATCTGATGAAAGAAAAGAGTTGTTAGAATAATTTTAAAAGATCACTAGTTTTATTAGAGTCATTTACCAATTTCAATGAACGAAAAATAAACATTTTTCAGTCCTTTGTGTCTTTAAGACGCCAGTAAATTGCTACATCTGACAAAGGCACACAAAGCTTACTTGCTTTTCCTACTGTTCATAATACATTCAAAATCATTTATATAGCATCCATTATATTCATAATGGTTTGGTTAAATGCTATAGAAGTTGCAAGGGTAAATTGGGACTTGACTGTTGGGTTTCAGTTTATTAGAATGTATGACCACTATAAAATGGACATTTTTTAAGACATAGAGGGTTACAGATGACAAGATAGTGAATATTTTCAACTAAGAATTATCAAACCTTTAGAAAGGTAACAAAAAATCATTTAGAAAACAGGCAAAGAGCATTTAGCCTGACTGGATGTCATTGTCTTTGTATGAGGAAGTGCAAGTAACTGAGTTTAGCTCAAATATAAGAGCATGAGAAGGTGAATTGTGGGAAGTAATTTGGGAATGGAAGAGGGAGTTGGAAACTAGATTTTAAAAAAACTTGAATACTTGACAAAGGCCTTAGAACTTTATTTCATGGAGGAAAAAGACCAAAAATGGTTGCTCCTAATGGTGTAGTCAATGATTACTTTTTTTATATGTGTGGAAAGTAAAATTTCTGAAAAGTTTCCAATCAACTACAGTTGACCATTAAACAATAGGGGTTTGAACTTTGAAAGTCCACTTATATGCAGACTTTTTCAATAATACAGTCAGCTCTCTCTACCTCCGTGTTCCACATCCATAACCATACACGGATTGAAAATACAGTATTTGTGGGATGCGAAACATGCATCTATGGAGGGCTGACATTTTGTGTTCATGCATTCTGCAGGGCTGACTGCCAGATTTGAGTGTATGTGCAGAATTTGGTGTCCCCAGGGTGTTCTGGACCAAATCATCTACAGATTTTGAGGGACAACTGCATGCAGTGAATGAAACTCAAGCTTAGAAGGGAAAATGAGCTTAGGTAAAATAAATTCATTACTTAAAATCTGTTCTCTTTGTTTGGGTACAGTTCTCTAAATGTGTAAATTACACGATTATCACCTATATAAATAAACTGATAAAAGAAAATTCAAGTACAGAACTTTTTGCAAAGGCTATCAGCATACAATCATCTGTACTCTAAAAGCAGAAGTATTTGAAAGAAAAGTAAAAAAACAAGAGAAAGCACTACTCAAAACATACAGATTGTAGATTATTGTAACAGCTAAATATGATGCTTGCAATTTTTCTTTAGGAAAAAGAAAGGGATGAAGGGCAATAAAGAAGCAATTATTTATAGGCAGAGTACCACTCAACTTTTCAATCACCAGTTATATCATATGTGTTGTTTATAAGGAGGTGGATTCATATTTTAGATGCCTGAGCTCTGCAATCTCAAGTGTAACTCTTTGAGTACAGGGATCAGGTTTCGTATTTCCTCATATTTTGCAGCTATGACTAGTTTAACATTTTCACAAAGCTTATTATCCATAAACTTTCCATGAATTGAATTACTGCGATTTTTAAGAACATCAGAAGTCCTACCCACTCTAAAATCTGAAGGCCTTGCTGCACTGACTGTTATAATTACTTAATTCTTACATGCTTACTAACATGCAATTGCCATCTGGGAGGTGTGATAAAATAAGCTTCTTTGGCCCACTAACACTTTAAAAATCATAGACTATAAAATGAAAGGGTTAGAACAAACTAGTTTTCTGGCACAGCAATTCATAAAGTGACTTCTATAGAATGCAAGCTCCACAGATTATTTTGGGAAAATGGCAGATTCTGTGGTCATAATGAGTTTAGAGAATGCTATGTATAATGTTTTCATTCTGGTGGTAATAATCACATTAACAATAGTAAAGGATTTCAGAAGATGGTTTTCTTTAAATTCATATTTCCCCAAATTATTTAAAATTCATCTTTTTCAGCTGTCATACTGATCCACAAAACACATTAGGAAATGTTCCAATCCAATGCCTTGTGGTACTGGGAAATAGAGTATAATGTGATGGTTAAGAGCCCAGGGTTGGCTGGGTACGATGACTCATGCCTGTAATCCCAGCACTTTGGGAGGCCAAGGTGGGCGGATCACGAGGTCAGGAGATCGAGACCATCCTGGCTAACACGGTGAAACCTCATCTCTACTAAAAATACTAAAAAAAAAAAAAAAAAAAAAAAATTAGCCGGGCGTGGTGGTGGGTGCCTGTAGTCCCACCTACTTGGGAGGCTGAGGCAGGAGAATGACGTGAACCCGGGAGGCGGAGCTTGCAGTGAGCTGAGATAGCGCCACTGCACTCCAGCCTGGGCAACAGAGCAAGACTCCGTCTCAAAAAAAATTTTTTTAAAAAAGCCCACGGTTTACAAGCAGATGGTTCTGCTAGTCACAAGCTCTGCAACCTTGGACAAGCTATATTGATTTTACTAAGCATCGGTTTCCTCACTTCACAATGTAGATAATATCTGTAACTATCCAATAAGGTTGTTACAAGGATTAAATATAATATGTTTCCCAACTACATGTACAGATTGACACTCAGTTGCATCAGATATGATTGTTTTAAAGATGAGACAGGTAAGTCCAGAAAAAGGAAGTTAATTCACCCAAGTTGCTAGTGTGTGCTCGCCAACATGACCTTTGCCTCCCCTTGTTAACCAATTGGTTTGCTTGTGGTCATAATCAATTATGTAATCCATTGTCTAAGAGGGCTTTGAAACAATAAAAAAGAAGACAGTTTTTTGGTTATGGGGCACAGGGAAATATAAGAATATGACTCATAAATTAAGAGGGTAAGCCTGGATGGGATATTCCCTGGGGTGAGGTGGAGAGTAGAAGGCAATTATTAGGTGACAGAAATATTTTGAGAGCCTGGTTATCTGGAATAAGTTTTGGATACAATTGAGGGGGAAAAAAAACAATTAAGTAGGCTAGAAGCATACTGAAGACAATTTTTGCATTCTTCAAATTTTTATCTAGGTCTAAAATCTAGTTCTAATTCCATTATATATTTCCCTTTAAAAATTTCACAATGTAATCCTTCTTATTTGTGGCTCTCTCTTTTCCAAATGCATTGCTTCTCATTGCTTTTCTCTTTCTTTTCCTTTTTTCTCAATTTCGGTGATTCCCTGGCTACTTCAGGGTGGTGTGGTAGGATCTAGGTTACTCACACCTCAGATGTATCTGAGTTCAGACCTGCTTTAGCTCCTCAGTTATGATCAACGATCATACTGTGACTAGCAATGGGTGACACTTGGTCTCACTGAGATTCTGGCCCAACTATCAAGCAGTATACTATCTTCTAGCAGTTTTCAGAGATTAGCTAAATTAGAGCAAGGCACTTACAAAGAGCTTGTACAACACAAGGTAAACACTTGAGTGTGTGGTTGCACACACGCATACACTAAGGTGTTATAGAGAAAAAAGAGTGTAAGAAAATTAAGCTCTATGTGGCAATAGCAATACACAAAAGATAAAACCTCAGATATATTTATAGATTGTACACATTAATATTAAATGAGTTACCTAGAATCTCCTGAACAGCATTAGACAGAAAAAAATTGCCATACTGGGTTTCATCTTTGACTGCCACATTGAAAGAAGGTTGGGACACCATATGTGTTACCTTTTTTATTAATTGTGAACAAAATGTGAATATATTAGACAATATTTTATTTAAATAATCTTTCTAGGTTTTCAGTTTACAAAGTCTCTTGAAGTAATTAGTCCCAAATTTTCTACTACATGTATAAAAGTAGAACTTTAAAAAAAATTGTCTTTTATTAACTAAAACTAGTATACTTGAAAATTGTGAAAAGTTTTTATTCACTCTACATAAAATATTTTGATATTCTATAAAAATGATTTAAAGTCTTAATGTTTAGATATTTTAGGTCTAATAAATTTTTGATAGAAATGCAATTCTATCACATTTTTCATATGCAGGTGTCTCAGCTCAAAGCATTTACTGCAGTAAGGTGTAACATTACATAACACAGAAGGAAACCTTTAAGAATTTTTCTCTTCACCTCTTTCCTCAAATTCCTGCTCCTCCAAAAAACTGCCTCCATAAACTTTCACTTTCTCCATTGGAAAACTCTAGCCCTGCCCAGGCTTCTTTCCTCAGAAACCCCTTTCTTCTCAAATTTGATTCTTCTTTCATCAGAATTACTTAATGCCATCAAACTTATTGTTTCCCTTTGTTTTAAGACATTAGATTGTATTTTAAAGAACTCTTTCTGTTTCCAAAACCACTGCACCCAACATCTTTTATTGAAACATAAACATATGTCTATAATAGCAAAATTCCATGACTTTGCTATGTCACATGCTCAATAAAACAAGTTTCTGCATATGCATGATCTAATTAAGTCCTCCATTCTATTCAAATATTCTACTTTTGTAGCCCAGCACTTTTTAAATTGCTATAGTTTTATGGTATGTTTTAACATATGATAGAAATAAGCTATTTTTTTGGTCTCATGACTTTAACAGTTTGGGCTCATATATTTTAAGGCTATGTTTTTAAGTGCATCCAAGTTCATGATGGCTACATCTTGTTTTAAATTATAATATGGGGCACATCTTGATTAAATTAGATTCTATTTTATCTGATACATGAGCTGACAGTAAGAAATAACATAACATCTTTTTACTTATCAAGGTTTCAATATTTTGGTGTGATTTATTTATAGAAGTGTCATTTATAGACAACACATTAGTGAATTCTAAAAAGCCAATATGATGATCTTTAATAAATTAGTATTTACTGATTACATTTAACATTTTCATTATTACAATATAACTTTTAGTTACTTAGAATTTAGCATTTTAACTTTTTAAGTTTTGACAAAAATAATATTATTAATACCATCCTTTAATAATTGTTTAGTGACTACCTGGAGTATAAAAAGTCAGTCTTTATAAGCTTAAAACTATGATACCTTTTCCCTTGGATTTTTTTTTTTTTTTTTTTTTTTTTTTTTTTTTTTTTTTTTTTTTTTTTTTGCTTTGAGCTTATTTTAAAAAAAATAACTTAGTTGGGAAAAAAATTCTAACTTGGCAATTATCTTCCTTCAGCACTTAAAAAATAGTGATTTTCTTTCTAGTTTTTACAGTTGTTGAAGAAATGCCTAGTATTAATATAAATGCTACTTCTTTGTAAGAAATGTCTTTCTTTCTGGGAGATAATTGTAGTCATTAAAGTTTTCTGTCATAATTTGTAATTTTGGAATGATTTTTCGAGTTGTGGGTTTATTTTTTTTTATTTTGCAAACTATTCAAAGTGTTTTTTTATATGAAGTTTCTTGTGTTTCTTCCATTCTGAAAAACTGTTTGCTGTTATCTCCTCAAATGTTACTTCTCTAACCTTACTTCTATTTTCTGCATCTTTTTTTGCCAGACTTTGCCTCTTCATCTATCTCCTATGTTTCTTAAAACTTGTGTACATTTTGTCTTGTTCTTGCCTTAACTCGCATCCTGGCTGAGAACTATCCTTTGTTCCACTAATTCTTTTTTTAATGGTGTCTAGTTTAGAGTTTACTTTTTATTTATTTCTTCAGGTTCTAAATGTGAATAATTTCATTCTGAAGATGTCTAGATATGTATAGACATAGATAGAAATATGAATATAGATACACACAAACATATGTATATATGTATAAATGGCATGCATGTATGTATACATGCATATGTGTTTGTATGTGTGTTATACACACATGTGTATCCATATTCTTGTCTGATTTTTGCTTGTTTTGCATCTTTATTTTTCTAGCAAATAAAATTCAAATTTCATTTATCTTTGTGAGTATTCTAAACATACTTATTTTAACTTTTTGCTGTCTTTTCTATAAAATTACTTTCATCGGGAATGAATTTACGTACTGGTTGTCTATTTTGTTGGTAACTTTTATCATTAGATATATTTACGCACTTTGGAATTTGGAGTTGCAGCCTCATTTTTAATTTGTAATGCCTTTTCAATTGTTTTTGACGTTTTTTGCTTTACTCTCCTATCATATGCCCCTGTAGATTAGTTTTGTGGTTTTATCTTACAATGACATTCTAGATTTCTTTTTCCACAATATTCTACAGCATATCTCAGATCCAGTTGCTGGGGATTACAAAAGGAGGGCCACAATTTGTACCTAGATGCAGAGCTACATCTTTGTCCTCCCACATCCTTAGGTCCATAACTATCTATAAATCTGTAGCCCTAGAAAACATGTTAACAAGTTTTTAAAGTCACCATTTCTACAGATTTCCACTCAACCTCTGACTTTTACCGATGACACCTGTTCTAGTTGGTAGTCTTACAAAAAGTACTTTTTAGTGTTCCTTACCCCAAAGAGTTGGTTTCCAGACTCACCCTTCTTCTGAACCCATATCCACCAAGTGTAAAGTTTCTGCCTACTCAGCACTTTGTGAGTCTGTTCTGTTTCGAGTCCACGTAGGTGTTTATTTTGATTTGGGGCTGTTATGTTTTGTCTTTTTATTCTTAGATTTTATCTACCATTGCTATGAGTTTGAAGTAAGAGTGCATCTGAGCATAAACAGCCATCTTGTGCAAAAAAAATGGCCTTTCTAATGCATCTTAACCTACCACCGTTCTTGTTTTTAGTTTTTTTTTTCAATTTTAAGCTGGATAATGCCTAACTGAAACAAAACAACAACAACAACAACAACAACAAAATAGAAACTTATCTCCTTACAAGGTGTATTAATTCATTCTCACACTGCTAATAAAGACATACTGGAGATGGGATAATTTATAAAGAAAAGAGGTTTAATTGACTCACAGTTCAGCCCAGCTGGGGAGGCCTCAGGAAACTTACAATGATGGCAGAAGGGGAAGAAAACATGTCCTTCTTCACATGGCGACAGCAAGGAGAAGTGGCAAGCAAAGGGGAAAATCCCCTTATAAAACCATCAGATCTCATGAGAATGCACTCAGTATCACAAGAATAGCATGATGGTAACTGCCTCCATGATTAAATTACCTTCCACTGGGTTCCTCCCATGACATGTTAGGATCATGAGGATTACAATTCAAAATGAGATTTGGATGGGAACACAGCCATATCATTCTGTCCCTGGCTGCTCCAAGATCTCACATCCTCACATTTCAAAACACAGTCATGCCCTTTCCAACAGTTCCCTAATTTCTTAGTTCATTTCAGCATTAAACAAAAATCTAAGTCCATAGTCTTAGCTGAGATAAGGCAAGTTGCTTTCAACTATGAGCCTGTAAAATTAAAAGCAAGTTAGTCACTTCCTAGATACAATGGCGGTACATGCATTGGGTAAATAGACCCATTCTAAATGGGGGAAATTGGCCAAAACAAAGGGACTACAGGCCCCATCCAAGTCTGAAATCCAGTGGGGAGTCAAATCTTAAAGCTCCAAAATGATCTCCTTTGACTCCATGTCTCACATCCAGGTCATGTTGATGCACGAGGTGGGCTCCCACTGCCTTGGGCAGCTCTAGCCTTGTGGCTTTGCAGGGTACAACCCCCGCTCCTGGCTGCTTTCATTGACTGGTGTTAAGTATCTGCAGCTTTTATAGGTGCATGGTGCAAGGTATTGGTGGATCTACCATTCTGAGGTCTGGAGGATGGTGGCTGTCTTCTCACAGCTCCACTAGGGCAGTGAGTGCCCCAGTGGGGTCTCCATGTGGGGGCTCCGATACCACACTTCCCTTCTGCACTGCCCTAGCAGAGGTTCTCCATGAGGGCTCTACCCCTGCAGCAAACTTCTGCCTGGACATTCAGGCATTTCCATACATCCTCTGAAATCTAGGCAGAGGTTCTCCCTCAGTTATTGACTCCATGCACCCACAATATCAATGCCACATGTACACCACCAAGGCTTGGGGCTTGTGCCCTCTGAAGCAATGGCCTAAGCTGTACATTAGCCCATTTTAGCCATGGCTGGAGCTGAAAAAACTGGGATGCAGGGCACCATGTCTGGAGGCTGCATTAGAACAGGGGGAGCCTGGGCCTGGCCCATAAAACCATTTGTCCCTTTTAGGTCTACAGGCCTGTGATGGAAGGGGCTGCTGTGAATGTCTCTGACATGCCCTGGTGACATCTTCCCCATTGTCTTGGTGATTAACATTTGGCTCCTAATTACTTATGCAAATTTCTGCAGCAGGCTTGAATTTCTCCCCAAAAAGATAACAGATAGAAAAAATATTTTCTATCACATCATCAGACTGCAAATTTTTCAGACTTTTATATCTTGCTTCTTCTTGAATGCTTTGCAGCTCACAAATTTCTTCCACCAGATATGCCAAATCATCTCTCTCAAGTTCCTAGTTCCACAGATCTCTAAGACAGTGGCAAAATGCTACCAGTCTCTTTGCATATCAAGGGTGACATCTACTCCAATTCCCAACAAGTTCCTCATCTCCATCTGAGACCACTTCAGCCTGGACTTCATTGTCCACATCACTATCAGCATTTTGGTCAAAGCCACTCAACAAGTCTCTAGGGAGTTTCCAACTTTCCCACATCTTCCTGTCTTGTTCTGAGCCCTCCTAACTGTTCCAAAGTCTGCCTGTTACCCAGGTCAAAAGTCGCTTCCACATTTTCATGTCTCTTTAGAGCAGCACCCCACTCTCTGCAGTACTAATTTACTGTATTATTCTGTTCTCACACTGCTAATAAAGACATACCCAAGACTGAGTAATTTATAAGGGAAAGAGATTTAATTGACTCACAGTTCAGCACAGCTGGGGAGCCCTCAGGAAACTTACAATAATGGCATAAGGGGAAGAAAACACATCCTTCACGTGGCAGCAGCAAGGAGAAGTGGTAAGCAAAGGGGAAAAGCCCCTTATAAAACCATCAGATCTCAAGAGAACTCACTCACTATCATGAGAACAGCATGAGGGCAACCACTCCCATGATTAAATTACCTTCCACTGGGTCCCTTCCACGACACGTGAATATTATAGAAACTACAATTCAAGATGAGATTTGGGTGGGAACACAACCAAACAATATCACAAGGTAAAAGAAAGGAGAAAGTAATGTGTATTTTTAAAATATGTTTGTCCAAGTACATGAGAGTAATAAGAGTCATTACATCTCACTGATTTGTTGTCAGAGGAAATATGATAATGGAGCTCAGCATCTCATACAGGCTTACCATATATTAAGCACTAACTACAGTTAGGTCATTATTATTAGCCTTTAAACTTGGTTTGCCTCTTAGTGGTTCAAAATATTCTCACTGCTCTACATAGACAACTTGCATCCAGCTCACTATTAGAAACAGGTTTGGGAGTTGAGAATTCCCAAATGCTTCCTCATGAACAACAAAAGAAAAAAGTCGCTCATTCCTTTGGTCTTGCACTTTATTCTCATGGGTACTTTATGAACTATAACTTACAAGTAGGGTTTTCCCTCTTTAATCATAGAACTACAAAGTATTCACATTAGAATGATTTTAAAGATCATCTATTTGTACCCTATCAGTTGGCAGGTAAGATTGTTCCCCTTAAAATAAACTATTTTGGCCTAGTTTATCCAGATAATGAGTGACATAATGTATCTCAAATTCTGGCTTTCTGCCTGTAAACTTCTATTTTTATTTTACTTCTTCTTTCTTCCTTAAAAATTATTATAATTCTCACTAAAACCCATTATTTTAAGAGCTGTATATAATAAGGATTTATAATAAAGATTAATGTCAGAATACATGGACACAAAATGATACCACCACACTTTTCCCATTTCCCTAATCTAAACTTCCAATGTCATCATAAATTTCTTTCTGTGTAAACAGAATACTTAATTCCCGCTTTCCAAACTACCCTAATATTTCTAAGTATATCTTAATTCTATTAAGAATAATGAAAGACAGTAAGACTTCATCGATATTTATTATGAGGCACAAATAGATCATACTCATATCTCCTAGAATTTGCACTTTACACAGTGATCAAACTATTATTGTAAAGCTCTTAAATGCTAAATTAGAGAGAAAGTGCAAGATACATTTTTATTCACTGATGTCTCTCCCTTGTGTTCCAACTTTGTGTGATAAGAAAAAACCCATAAGGTACATACGCAGACGGATCAACAGTAGCTACCATACTGTAATTGATATAAAAATATCTGCATATACTTGACACCAATTTTGTATAGACCTAAATTTGTTAGTCCAAATTCTCAGGCAATGGAATCTCCAATAGCTTCTTTCCCAGGAGAGCTGTCTCTGTTGACTGGCACAGATTGTTAAAATCATCCTACATAAAAAGCACAACATTGCTGCCATTATGTTACCTCCCTGTCACAAGCAGATCCTGATTTTGGAATTGATGAGCATACGGCAGAAAATTGTCTCAGGGAAGCTCATAAAACTTCAACAAACAGAAATAATTTGATTTTTACTATTTCTACAGGCATTATAAGGCATTTGGGAGGACAAAACTTCTAGAGTCTAGAAATGTAAACAGATAAATCTCATGTGACCATAAGAAGTAATTATCCTGGCAGCTGAAAGAAGACAATGATGGACTTAAAAGAGAATATGCATAGGCATAGAAATCCTGACCCTACATATCCTAAGTTCCTATCCTCAGAGATCCATGCAGATCATGACTGGCCCTATGTAAGTTTAAGAAACTGATAATGTCATTTTCACAATACTCAGTCCTATTTCTAAGAATTTTTCCTCATTTCAAGACACCAATTTTCTACGCAACCAAGAACTCATTGCCCAAAACTTCTCTCCTATTCCGGAAGTCAGACTTGTGTCAGATTGCTCATATTGGGGGTTTGGGGGGAACCTCTTAACAAATTGTGAAAAAGCAGAGATTGTATAAGCCGTGTAAACTTAAAGTTACTTTGCTTCTTCGATTCTTAATCTATGAAAACTAGGTAAGGTCTACCTCACCAGTTACTGAGACGGTTTATACAGAGGATATATATGAAAGAGTATTATACAAACTGTAAAGTAGTATGACATTATATTTGTCATGTATATACCAGTACGGGTTTCACGTAGTATACTATCTCTATACATCGAACATTTTCTCTAATTATGAATGTCAATATTTTTAAGACGTCAAAGACTAGCAAAAAAATGGGATAGTTTGAGAGCCCAGAGAGGCTTTTCCCTTGCCACAGAAATAGGTATCTGTCTTGTGTATCTGGAAGTCTAACATCATCCTACGCCAATTCCAGCACAAAGAATGCCATAGTTAGCAAGGCAGGATTTTTTCCACTGTTAGGCTGGTATATCTCAATGTATCTATTGTTACCTAAAACCCAGAGCTGCTTTCTCTAAGTCATTGAATTTTCTATAGTCACACTATGAAAGATGATATGAAATAGCCAGAATTTTTTCATTAACAAGTAGAGAAACCCTACTTAAATTGACCTAAGCACAAGTAATTTATTAGAGCAAAACACAAACTGGCTTCAGGCATAGATGAATCAATATGTCCAAATGATGTCAGAAACCTGTCTCTTTCTGTCTCTCATTTCTGCTTGTTTCTGTATTGGCTTCTTTCTTAGGAATTATCTCTGTGTGTGGTGGAATTATGGCCAGGCTTTCATCCTCCTAGATCAGCTATCCTGCCAGAATGAGAGCTTCCATTTTCCAACAGTTTCAGAAAAATCACCAGAAATAATGCCCATTGAAAAATTTTGGAAGGTCTGGCTTGGATTTGAGCCAAAATGGAATAATTTAGAATGGAAAATAGATGGTTCCCCAGAGAAAATCAAGTTGTTGTTATGAGAAGAATGGAGAGTGGATGTTGGTCCGGCAAAAACAACAGATGTCCACTACATGCCCAGGCTCCATCACCGAAGACACCCTGGGAACAGTCCACTAAAGTTTTATTCCTCTAGGGGCTACTTTGTATTTGGAGATTGCTGTTTTCAAAAATCATATTTGACCGCCAAGTATACAATTACTTTTATACTCAACTCAGAGAGGGCTATATTAAACAATTTATACAGCAGCAGGTGTTGCATCTCATGAATAGAAGAAATTAATCCTACAGATACAATCTGACCTTGCCAGATCCCACAGCAAAAGAAATCTGCTTTATGCACAGTTGAGGTTGAGCTGCATGATAATCATGTATCATACAATTTCATGTGAGCTGTGCTAAATGCCAGGTTTTACAAAAATCAGTGTGATATTTCTTCTAGAAATGGAGCTAACAATTATTTTCAAATTCAGTGCTAGTTAAAATTGATTGATATAGGACAATTTCTTTGGGTAGAATTGAAAATAAATGTGTGTTTCTTTGTAAAAATCATCTTACATAAGACCAGTGTATCTCTACATTTTAAGTTAATTTTCGGTCAATAAATGGCTTTGTGAAACTTTGGAAAAGGCAGACAAATGTCAAATCCTCATGGTACCACTAGCAAGTTGTATGCCCTTGCAACATTTCTTAACTACCATGGCCTCAGTGAGTTTATTTGGAAAACAGGAATATCACCTAATTGCCTGAGTGCAAGAGATTTAACCAGGGGATCCTTTGAGCATTTTTAATATGAGCAAAGCAAAAAGGTACAAAATGCAAAATAAACCTAAAGACATAAAATATCTATAAATATCAATGAAGCTTTGATGAAATGAGATAAAATTTCATATCAATATTAATAGCATTGTAGAGTAATATTGACCATATCATTCTTACCAAATGTTTTAGAAAAAAAATTAGTACCTTTTTTACAAAAAAAAAAAATATGATAATGGGTTAAACAGCTTGCAAATATTGTCAGGATTTTTTACATATAATGGACATATATATGGACCAAAGCGAAGAATATTAGGTTTAGAACTGGTTTTATCTACAACTTTCAGGAAAACTTGGAAAATAATTTTCATTGTATATGAATAATTAGAAATAATTATTAGAATAATTAGAAATAACTAGAAATAATATTCCCCATGTTCTTATACACTGAGCTGACAAAAAAATCACCAGTAATTATACAATATTCTATAAGCTAAACATAAAGAAAAAATACATTATAAATACGGAGAATTTTTTGGGTGGGTGATGTTTTCCTTTAAACCCAAGCTATTTGCCCTTTTAAAATATTCTTATCTTCTAATTCCTTGAGTCTTGACAAATTAGAGATTTTGTATTAAAGTTTCTCTCTCAGTTCATGTCTTGCCTCTGCTTTGGAGTTCATTTGTATATAAATCTAGTAAAGTGGCTAAGGAACACAATCTCTGTTATAAGGTAAACCTGAATTCCAATCTCAACTACATCACTTCTCAAATGTGAGGCTTCAGGCAGATTGAATAACCATTGTACTTCCATTTCTTCATCTGGAAGAGGAGGATAACATGTTTACTTCGTAGAATTCTTATGGGGATAAAATAGGGTAACATATAAAGTGATTTACAAAGAGCTTCACACAAAATAAGTGCATGATAAATATTATGTGTGGTATTATCAATAGCATTTCAATTTGTTACAATCAGTGTTATTTCAATGTTTACATAAAACAATAGATTCAATTAATCTACTGCATAAATGAGATCATCATTTAATAGTTGATACTGCCACTAAATAGATACAAATCTATGCAGCTTGGAATAAACAAAAAGTGAGTCTTAACTCTCACTCCAAGATAAAAGATGCTCATGGATAAAAAATGTACATTTTTTTGATGAAGGAAAACAAGGTCACATTTGTTAACCAAACTCAAGAAAAATCACAGATATTTCATTTTTTTTCTAGCACACACAGGTCCTATCCGTGATCAGCATGAAATGCTGAAAGGAATGATAGCAGTTTATGTAATGAACCTGACTCACTATTCAAATATTCTTTCCTGCTCATCTCAATTTACTCCTCTTGAATGCTCTATCTTGCCAATGTCTTTGTTAGAGGATCTACCACACTACATTGCAATTTTTTCGGTTTCATGTCTGTCTTTCTTATTTGACTAAGAACTCTTTAAAGATGTCTAAGTGATAATTATCTTCTATTTCCAGAGCTTAGCCTGCTGCTTGATAAATAATAGGCACGCAGTAAAAGTTTATCAAATTTAGTTTAATTCACTCATGGAATTTTCAAAGCTTCTTTAACTTATATATGAGTGATTTCTTTTTTTTGGAAACATTACATCTCAAGTCATTATTGAAACCAAATATTCTCCCTCTTTAGATGTTAAATGACAAATGTAATCAGTTTTCTATATGAAGTACATAAACATGTGAAAACCCCTGATTCTGACACAGTAACGTATATTTTTTTCAAATAGGTTTCGACCACCTCACTCAGAATATATAAATAATAATTTTACTGCTTTACGGAAATTCAAAACACTAAGATTTGAAATCATGTGTGAGAGATTTGTATTAGTAAATTAGTCACAGTTTTGCATATGAATAGATCTTATGATCCATCTTTGAGATCCTATCATACACCTTAGTAATCTGCTTCTAAATGCATGTCTGGATTTCTCTTCAATCCTTAGCATTTCCTGTAAAACATATTGAAATATAGTACTGATACAAATGTTTCTTGATGTGGGTTTAAATTTTTAGCTTCAAAATATTTCAAGTTTCAAAGCAGAAACACTTACATGAAACATTTCCTTTATAAATTTGATGAGGCTACAAAAATTTGTGATCTCTTTTCATTAGGCTTCTACCATCTTGGCAAAATGTTTTTTCACTGTTTACCTCTGAGATTGTCCTGGGACCTCCCACTTGAACTATTTTTCACCCTAACTTCCAAATGCTAATAAACAAAACAGAAATATATATCTCTTAGGCTGATGGAAAGTTAAAGCCTAAGTATTTAATTATGACATGAATTACAGACAGAATACATTTGCTTTCAACCTCAAAATGGGTCCTTTTTCCTAAAAAGTGTAGCTTCTCTTTCCCTAATTTTAAGTATTAGTCATTTCTAATACTTTATACTTTTGAGAGCATTTTGACATTTTAACTCATACTGTACTATTTCAGAACTCATGTGCTTCCCCTGTGGTTAGTATAAGGAGACAGAAACCAGCCAAGGAAGCAAAAACCCTGACTTTTATTCCAGATCACAATTTTTCTAGTCTCATTACACATTTGCCCAGCCACTGCTGCCCTCTACTATAGCTCTCACTCTTGCAAGGATTTTAGTGATCTTTCTTTGTATCAACTTTGTATCCAGTATCAACTTATAAGGCAACAGTAACATCCATACAGCAGATGCACAGAATCATATTCTTATGGAAGCTTGCATACATTTTCTTTATGTCAAAAATTTAATTTCACTAATTTATTTGCTATATTTCCTTTATAGCCATAATATGCCAGCACCACATTTTAAAACCTACGAATTGGAACAAATTAAAACCTATGAATGCTAAGATTCACTTAGCATTTATTAGGAAAAACATAAAATCTATAAATAGGCAAGACAATGTATTTGAAAAGTTGTTGTCCAAGTTGTGATTCATACACATTTGTTCATGGACCTTGAAATTCACAGAGATGCTTCAGCTTATGATTGTGAGGCTCTAAACTGCTCGCATGTCATTTTCCCTTCCTGAATCCCTGCCTGACAGATTTCAGGCTTGCTTAGCCAGCCTCCACAATTGCTTTAATGAGTTCCTTGTAAAGATTTCTACTGGTTGTGCACTCATGTTAAATTCTGATACAGAATCTGATATCATCAATGTATTATTATATATTATGTACAAAAATCAAAACAACGCTAGAACCATATGTACTTCAAGATCCTACCCAATGTGGGAACGACTTGTATAGGATGCCCAAGTGTCCATCAGTCTACCAGTTTCACGGTGTTTTATTAATTAAGACCCCTTCCTGCTTTTAATAAGGAGAATATAAAATTAAGAACTGAGAGAGTTCTAGATTTAAGCCTTAACTCTGCAACCACAGAACTGGGCAATTTGGGAGAATTATATAATGTCTATCATACTATAAAAAGGCACTAGATATATAATGAACTCCAATAGGTTTGATTACCAGGTCTCCTACAACTCCAAGAAATGCTGGGAACTCCATCTTTTTATGTTTGTTTACCTATTCAAAAATCACATTGCCTTATTACTTTAGGAATAACCAAAGATAGATAGATAGATAGATAGATAGATAATTTCTCTGTGTCACCCAGGCTGGAGTGCAGTGACACTATCTCTCACAGCAATCTCTGTCTCCTGAGCTCAAGCAATTCTTGAGCCTCAGCCTCCCAAGTATCTGGGATTATAGGCATGCAGCACTGAGCCTGGCTGATTTTTCTATCTTTAGTAGAGACAAGGTTTTGCTGTGTTAGCCAGGCTGGTCTCTAACTCCTACCCTCAAGTGATCCACCCATCTTGGCCTCCCAAAGTGCTGGGATTACAAGGGTGAGCCATTGCACCCAGCCAAAAGAATATTTTTAAATCAGAAATCATTCTATAAGGTTGATTAAGCTGGATATTGTTATATGTTGGTTCCAGAAATGATGTTAACTATTTGGTATTTTTATTTGCTCGTCTTGATAACTTTGTTCTTTAGCAATAGGATTGTTTTTCTGTAACACATTATGGCTACAAAGAGTTGATAAACTGACACATTCAGTTTACCAATGTTTACACATTTTTTGATTTTTTTTTTTTTTTTTTTTTTTTTTGAGACGGAGTCTCGCTCTGTCGCCCAGGCTGGAGTGCAGTGGCGGGATCTCGGCTCACTGCAAGCTCCGCCTCCCAGGTTCACGCCATTCTCCTGCCTCAGCCTCCCGAGTAGCTGGGACTACAGGCGCCCGCCACTACGCCCGGCTAATTTTTTGTATTTTTAGTAGAGACGGGGTTTCACCGTTTTAGCCGGGATGGTCTCGATCTCCTGACCTCGTGATCCGCCCGCCTCGGCCTCCCAAAGTGCTGGGATTACAGGCGTGAGCCACCGCGCCCGGCTTTACACATTTTTTGAAAGTTATTCAATGAGAAAAATTATTACAATAACTTTTGATTAAATTTGTTCATAAACCTGATCATTTTAACTATAGTGAACCAGGTGTGTTAGAACAGATATTAAACATTCTTCAGTTTTACATTCTTAGGATCTACTACCCATATGTGCTCTTTTTAAAATTTATTATTATTATTCAAATTTTCTGTGGGTCAAGAGTAGGTATATAAATTTATGGGGTACATAGGATGTTTTGATACAGGCATGCAATGTGAAATAACAGGGAAATCAAAGCAAAAATGGACAGATGGAATCACATCAAGTTAGAAAGCTTCTGCACAGCAAAGGAAGCAACAAAGTGAAGAGACAACCTACAGAATGGGAGAAAATATTTGCAAACTGCCCATCTGACAAAGGATTAATAACCAGAATATATAAGGAGCTCAAACAGCTCTACTGAAAAAAAAAATCTAACAATCTGATCAAAAAAATGGGTTAAGGCCAAATGCAGTGGCTCACGCCTGTAATCCCAGCACTTTGGGAGGCCAAGGTGGGCGGATCACCTGAAGTTGGGAGTTCAAGACCAGCATAAGCAACATGGAGAAACCGCATCTCTACTAAAAATACAAAAATTAGCTGAGCATAGTGGCGCATGCCTGTAATCCTGGCTACTCGAGAGGCTGAGGCAGGAGACTAGCTTGAACCCAGGAGGCGGAGGTTGTGGTGAGCAGAGATCGTGCCATTGCACTCCAGCCTGGGCAACAGGAATAAAACTCCATCTCAAAAAAAACAAAAAAAAAAAGCTTAAAATATTTGAATAGACATTTCTCAAAAGACATACAAATGGCAAATAGGCATATGAAAAGGTGCTCAACATCATTGATTATCAGAGAAAAGCAAATCACAACTACAATGAGAAATCATCACACCACAGTTAAAATGCTTCCAAGTGCTCTTGAGGGCTCAAGAACTGTAGTAATGTATAATTTTCCTAAAGGACACAGTTTAACTGTATCATTTACAAATTTGTCACACAGGAGCTAGGAAGTCAACCAAGCAAACAACAACCACATCTGAAAGACCCTTCACTATGGTGTACTTGTAAGAAAAAAGCTGGAAGGAACCAAATTATTTGATGAAGCATAAACTAGAGAGCTTTCTTAAAATATCTTCTATAATTCATCCTTTTCAAATGTCAAGCATCTAAATGTACTTCTGATTTTGTCAGTTGTTCTTGGTGTATTGACTGGCTTTGTTAAGAGCTACATTTTGTTAATGAGATATAGCATGACTATCTTTTGATAATGAAAGTTTTAGATTACTCAAGTGATTACAAGCATTTGGTGGACAATTTTCTCCATCATCCCTAATTGCCAGCACCTTGACTAATGTGAAAAACTAGAGAAGTAATTTGTATTCTTTTTTTTTTTTTTTGCTTTTTTACATCAATTTATTTTAACTGTGTTTTCAGCATCCTGACTTATAAATTGAAAAATCTAATATTACAGATGAAATGTGACTGCAATGGAAGGGGGAGGGAAGTGAAGAGATGGGTGTGGGGAGAAACAGAGAAAAAGATAAAGAGGTGAGGATGCAATATTTTCTTCTCACAGTAGAAAAAAATGCAGTCATTTCTTCCAGTAGATACTAATACTATTTTTGCGTTTCTTTCCTTCGCGCAATAAATCAACGGTGTCCTTTTCTAACCGGTACATACAATAGTAAAAGCATCACAGTGGCTTCCCCTGTTATTTTCTCGGAATGTTGGCAGGAGAAAGTGTGACCTGATGGAAACAGGACAGAAGTCAGAAGTCCAAAGGTCCAATTTCATTTCTGCCTCATACTAACAAAGTAATGACCAACAAATTCACCACCCTCCTGTCTCTTCGCCCCAAATGCTTACCACAAAAGTTTTGTGGCAGTAAAAGAAAATAATCCATACAAAATATATGGAAACACTAGAAGATGTTACAAATGAATGTTAAAGGAAACTTTTTTCTTTCTTTTTTTATGTTTAAGAGACACAAGGTTTAATTTTTTTTTTTAATTTTTATGGATACATAGTCGGTGCATATATTTATGGAGTACATGAGATACCTCGATACAGGCATACAATATGCAATAGTCACATCAGGGTAAATGAGATATCCATCACCTCAAGCATTTATCATTTCTTTGTGTCACAATCATTCCAATTATACTCTTCTGGTTATTTAAAAATGTACAATAAAGATCATTTTTATCCTCTTTCTTCCTCAAAACATTTTATATTTAGATGTTTTGCCAAAAACCAACCAAACAAAAAAGCCCTCTTTATTGTACAGGAGGCAACAACTAACTCTCTAGTCTTCAGTTTCCAACTCTGCTCCTGACCGATTTTAATCATACAGAGTACACCAGTGACTTCTTTCTTGCTAAATCTAAAGGTCTCTTTAAAATTCCCATCTTTTTTGACCTCTCTGTAGGATTTAACACTGCTAGGCCTGTTGTGATACTTGAAACATTTTATTCCTGTGGCTTCTACAATAGCATTTCCTCCTTCTATTTCCTGCCATTACTATTGCTGCTTCTTTAATTCTTTTCCAACAGCATTCCTTTTTATACTGACCTTCCAAGTCCTGGCTTCTCTGTGGCTCATTCAACTCTCTTCTCTTCATTCATCTATTTGACACAAATTGTCAACCCTATTTTCTAGGCCCCAGAAATACAACGGTGAATACAAAAGACATATTTCTTCATGAAGCTTCCGTCTAATGGTGGCAAAATAATTAGACAAGCAACTACAATAAAGCATGATAGAGAAAGCCCGTGGCTGAAAATGCTACCCTTGGTTTTCTCTCCTATATGTCACTGTTTCCAAATCTGCACCTCTGGTGCCAAACTTTCTCCTCATTTTCACGCTATGTAAGGGTCATCCCACGTTCCCCTGCCTCCTGCTCAACCACAAATGTCTGTAGACATCACAAAATCAGTATTCAAAAATCAAACTCACTATATTTAGCTGATGACAGTGCTCATCAATCATCATCTCTCAGATCCAATGTCTTTGTCCTTTTCTCAGTGTTCTATGAACATTTCATAAGCTTACATTCCACATTTCTGTTTTGAGTCTGCCCTTGTTTCTAATGCAGTTATTAATTCAGTGATTCTTTCTTATTTTTAAGATATATTCTTCCTTTCCTAGTTGTGTTTTTTTTCCTTTTCTTCTCTTTAAGCCAGCTCCCATTCGTATCTCAGCTTGTTTTCTTGTTATATCATTACCTAAAATATATTTTAATTAATTTTTAAAGATGTAAACTCATCCTGAATTTTCTCCTATTTCCTGTAGGGAAAGAAAACTTCCTTTTTCAAATTATGCTTTTCTTCTCTTTTTTGAATGCAAGGTGTCTGTCTCCATTTGTTGCAATAACTTTGAGTAGGCTCCATATAGGAAGACCTTGTTACTACTCACGTATGAATAAGAATTTATTCAGAACTGGCATTTATCCAAAACTAGTGTGGGTGGATTATCATTGACTCCCCTTATTGTTCATTTAAGCTCATTAGAACTTTCTTCTCAGCTCTGAAGCAGAGTCAATTGAAATGATTGTAATAGCAAGACCATCAGTGCAGTGTACTGTGTGGAGTAGAGAATATGCTGGCACTAAAAGTCCTAGTATTGGAGAGTCTCCTTTGAAAGTTTTTATTTTCCCCTGAGTTCTGTTAAGCTTCTTTGGCAAAAGTGTGACCTTTCTCAGCCAGTTTGGCTCAGTTTCTATTCCAAGAATCAAAGTGTGGTAACACCCAACTTCTTTTCTTTCTTTTCTTCTTTTACTCCTTACCACATTAAGAAAGATCCCAGCTGTTTCAGGGTGAAGCTACTTTAGAGGGAAACCCCATTGCCTAAAGATTTCCTGTTAATGTAGCCACAATCACCCTTGGACACTTGCATATGTCCCATCCTAAAACTGTAACTATAGTGAAAAACAGGTTGATATGGTTAGCCTTTGTGTCCCCCACCCAAATCTCATCTTGAATTGTAATCCGCAGGTGTCGTGGGTGAGTCCTGCTGGGAGGTGATTGCATCATGGTTGCAGTTCCCCCCATGCTATTCTAGAGATACTGAGTGAGTTCACACAAGATCTGATGGTTTTATAAGTGGTAGATCCTCCCTTGCTTGCTGCTTCTCTTTCCTGCCGCTCTGTGAAGAGGTGACTTCCGCCATAATTATAAGTTTCCTGAGGCCTCCCCAGCCATTCAGAACTGTAAGTCAATTAAACTTCTTTTCTTTACATATAACCCAGTCCCAGGAAGTTCTTTATAGCAGTATGAGAATGGACTATACAGAGGTCCTGTACAGTTGGTGGCATTCAAATGGCTCATTGTTTTCTGAAATTCTCTTTCCCTCTGTAAAAGATAGATGAAAAGATAGACTTATAAAAGGAGAGAGAGAGAGAGAGAACTCCTTTCTGAACCATTCCCAACACATGTGCCCTGAGTTTTCTCTTATATAGTAACATAGAGGACTTAGATAAAAATGGTTAGGTAACCTAAGTGTCTGACTCACTGTCCCTTTCAATAAATCCAAATACAGAAATACAAGGGATGTAAAAATGTGTGAAAATTGTGTAAGTGCCCTTAGTTACAGAGAATGCCCTAATGGGCACTATACAAAGATAACTAGGCTGTCACTATAAACAAACACAGGCAACATCACTAAAAACAAACACATTCAATTCAAATAATTTATCCACTCAATGCTAAAGCAACAGAATGAAATGTGCAATTTTCAATTGAATATTAGGTTACCCTAATGTCTTTAATTTTAATAAAATAATTATAAGTTCACAATCAGCTAGAAACAAAACTGTCCTATCTCTAAGTAATCTTCAATGTTTTAAGAAATTTCTCACTCAATTGATAGTTCATGCATTAAAAGCTTATTTGTTTGTGTATTTCAAGATGGAAAAGTACCATGCAATGTTTACTAAATAATAATGTATGATTGCTGGGAAAGTGGGTGGATACATAAACCAGAAACACACATAAAGAAATTGACATTAAATCCGAAATAGCATGCCTATGGTTTCATGTAATTTTAATACTGGATGGCTGGATGTTGATTACATTCTTGATCAGAGACTCTCAAATTTGGCTGCAACTTGGAGTCATCTTGCTGGTTTTGAAAACTAACACCCTATCAAGGATGTGCTGATTTATTTGTTCTGGAATATAGCCTAGGCATTAGAATTTTTTAAACCTCCCTCAAGTAACTCTAACATGCAACAGGGTTGAGAACCACTCTTTTAGGAGGTACAAAAAGAAAGGTGGCTGGCTGAAAAAAGGCAGAGAGCAGAAAACAGAAGGTGAAGAAGCTTTCATATAACCTCTGCAGAATGCTAGAGAGTTTCTACAGAAAGATAATAGTTAGGCAGTTGTATAAGCTTAATAGAGGGGAATTGACTTTAGAATTGTTCTAGTCTATCCAGTTTGATTTTTTGTGAAGTGCTTTCCTACAATCTTGGAACTCAAAGTGTATTCTGTGGCCTCACTTGGGAGCTTATTAAAAATACAAAACCTGAGGCCCACCCCAGATGTCCTGAATCATACTTTGCCTTTTAAAAAGATCCCCAGGTAGTCTGAATCCTGATGAAATATGCAGATCTTAAAATGACCCATCAATAGGTTTCTCAAATCCCTATTTCTTATAAAAGGGTAAAATAAAAGGATAGAAAACTAGAGAATTCAGAGTCTTGTAGAGAGCGAATTGGTCAACATTATCAGGAATGTGACCTAGGTAGTTGCAGAAGTGAAGAAAGGAAATTACATATGTTATAAAGAAAATATCAAAATCCATGTGCTAGATGTACTGATATGGTTAAAGTTTAGTGAGTGGGGAGAACTTGTGTATATATGATCTGGCTGAGGATAATAGGAGTTATTAAATCACTGAAACATGGAAAGTTCTACTTTGCACTGTAGGAGTTAGCTGGGTAAAATGGAGAAAAGAGACCAGGTGGCTAGTGCTGACAGCCTCTTGGACAATTAGCACTTAGGTTTGATAATATGGTAGCTTTACTGCAGAGCCCAATATTCACTCTGGGTAAGAAAATCTAATTTATGAGTGTCTTTTGAACTTTGAATCCTTCACTTACTAGCTTATGATAATAAGCTATATATTTTTGGATCTATACCCAGATATATCTAAAACAGTAGCTTTTTCCTTGATGTCTGTAAACAAAAAGAATAAAGGTTACATGACCTTCAAAGGATGCCTTTCTTAGAAGGAGCTAGTGTTATGTTTTAGTTGGAGTTGTAGTTGATTTTTTAGCAAATTTATTGCAGTTTAATTCAGGTACGATATAATTCACCAGTTTAAATGGCACAACTCAATGGTTTTTGGTACATTCACCAAATTGTGCACCCATCACCACAATTTTAGACCATTTTAGTAATTCCAAAAAGAAACCTCATACAGATTAGCATTCATTTCACATTTCCTCCAAACTCTACCCCCACACCTAGTCCCGGGCAACCACTAATCTTCATTCTGTTTGTATAGTTATCCTATGCTGGATATTTTATACAAATAAAACCATACAATATAGGGTATTTTGTGACTGACTTCTTTTCCTTAGCATGTTTTCAAGGTTAATCCTTTTTGTGTCCAAGTAATATTCCACTGTATGGATATATGACATTTTGTATTTGTTCATCAGTTGATGGACATTTGGATTGTTTCCATTTGCTGATTAGTATGAATAATGCTGCTATAAACATTTGAATACAAGTTTGTATGTAAACATGTGTTTTCAATTCTCTTGAGTATATACCTAGGAGTGGAATTGTTAAGTCATATGGTAAGTCTATTATTAACTTTTGATAACTCTCAAACCGTTTTCTACAGTGAGTGCACCATTTTACATTCTTAGCAGCCACTTCAACAAACCTTGTTTTGTCTGCCTTTTTTATTCTAGACATGCTAGTCAATATGCTGTGGTATCTTATTGTGGTTTTGATTTGCATTTCCCTTATTACTAATGATGATAAACACCTTTTTATGTGCTTATTGGCCATTTGCACAACTTCTTTGGAGAACTGTCTACTCAGATCATTTTTCATATTTTAATTTGGTTGTCTTTTATTATGGAGTTATGAGTGTTCTTTATGCATTCTGAATACCAGTCCCCTATGAGAAGTATTAATTTGAAATATTTTCTCTTACTCTGAGTGTTGTCTTTCTCACTTCCTTTATGGTGTCATTTGAAACACAGAAGTTTTTAATTCTGATGAATTCTAATTTATTTTTCTTTTGTCAGTTGTGCTTTGCTGTCATAGATAGGGAGTCATGGTTTAACCTAAGGTCACAAAGATTTACTCCTGTGTTTTCTTCTAAGTTAAAGTGTTAAGTTAAACACTATATTAACTATTATGCTTAAGTCTATGATCTATTTTGAATTAATTTTTATATATGACATGAGGAAGCGGTCCAAGTTTGTTCTTCTATATGCAGATATTCGGTTGACCCAGAACTATTTTTTGAAGAGTGCTTTCCCTGTTGAATTCTTTCTGGAAACCTTGTCTAAATCAATTTGCCATAAATATATGGGTTGATTTCTGGAATCTCAATTTTATTCCACGAATCTATATGCCTACCATTATGCCAAACACCACACTGTCTGAGTTACTATAATTTTGTAGTAAGTGTTGAAATTGAAACATGTGAGTGTTTCAACTTTGTTCCTCTTTTTTTTCAAGAGTGTTATGGTTATTTTAGATCCTTTGCATTTCTGTATGAATTTTAGGATGAGCTTGTCAATTTCTGCTAAAAAAAAAGAAGTTGGAAATTTAATAGTGATTTACGAGATCTGTAAATAAACTGGGAGAGTGTATTCATTTCCTGTGTCTGCTGTAACAAATTACCACCAATTTGGTGGCTTAAATCTATAAAATGTTGTTGTATTGCAGTTCTGAAGGCAGGAATTCAAGGTGTCAGCAGAGCCACACCGCCTCTAGAGTTTCCTGTCAATTGTCACTTTATGAGTTAGTTAAGGAAAATGGAGACAGTGATAATATGTTATTTCCCTCTTTCAGCTTCTGGTGGCTTTTGGCATTCCTTGACTTGTGGCCACATTACTCTAGTCTCTGCCTCTGTGATGATATTGCCCCGTCCTCTTTGACCTGTGTCAATTCTTTCTCTGACTCACTCTTTTAAGGATACATGTCATTTCATTTAGGACCAATCTAGATAATACAGGATGATCTCCTCATCACAAGATCCTTAACATAATTACATATGCAAAGAACATATGTTTTGCCAAATAAAGTAACATTAGGAGGGACCAGGGATTAGGAAATGGGCATATCTTTTGAAGGGGCCACAAATTTAGCCCAATACAAGGAGTATTTTCATCTTAAAAATAGTATCTTCTATTCCATGCACACAGATGTCTTTCCATTTATTTAGGTCTTCTTTAATTTCTTTCAATAATGTTTTGTAGTTTTCAGTGCAAAAGTATTACACTACTTTTGTCAAACTTATTCCTAATTATATCATTATTTTAATGCTAAAATACATAGAATCATTTTAATTTCAGATTATTCATTTTTATATAATATACATACATTTTAAAGTCTCTGAAACTTAACACTGTTCCAGGGCTATCAATGGCTTCTTCTCCTTAGGAGCTATGCTTAAAGAATATGCATCATATGTCCTCATGCAAAAGACAAGTTCATTGGGTTAAAGACTCATAAACTCAACATAACCAGTAGTGTTTCTTTACATTAACAACAAACTATCAAAAAAGGAAACAAAGAAAACAATATCATTTAAAATCACATTTAAAAGAACAAAACACTTAGGCATAAACAGCCAAGAGGCTGAAATACTTGTACACTGAAAACTGTAAAACACTGATGAAAGACATTGGAAAAGACATAAATAAATGGAAACATATCACATGTCCACAGATTGAAAGAATTAATATTGTCAAAATGTCCTTACTACACAAAGCAATCTACAGATCAAAGAATTCCCTATCAAAATTCCTGTCATTTATTTGTACAGAAATAGAAAACAAAAGCAATATTATAATTCCTGGGATACCACAGAAACCCCAAATAGCAAAAGCAATATTCAGCAAGAAGAGCAAAGCAGGAGGCATCACACTTCCTGATTTCCAAATAAGTTACAAAAGTATAGTCATCAAAACTGTATGGTACTAGCATTAAAACAGAAATATCCACAATGAAACACAATAGCCCAGAAATAAGCCCACATATTTACAGTGGACTGATCTTTGACAAGGAGGGCAAGAATACACAATAGGGAGAGAATCGCTTCTTTAATAAATGGTGCTGGGAAAGCTAAATATCTACATGTAGACAAAATGAAATTAAACCCTATCTTTTTTTTTTTGAGACAGAGTTTCACTCTTGTTGCCCAGGCTGGAATGCAACGGCACAATCTCAGCTCACTGCAACCTCCACCTCCTGGGTTCAAGCAATTCTCCTGCCTCAGCCTCCCAAGTAGCAGGGATTACAGGCATGCACCACCACGCCCAGCTAATTTTGTATTTTTAGTAGAGATGGGGTTTCTCCATGTTGGTCAGGCTGGTCTTGAGTTCCCGACCTCAGGTGATCTGCCCACCTCAGCCTCCCAAAGTGCTGGGATTACAGGCAGTGAGCCACCATGCCCAGCCAACTCTGTCTTACACTATATACAAAAATCAACCCAAAATGAGATGAAGACTTAAATATAAGGCATGACATTGTACAAATCCTAGAAGAAAGCATAAGAAAAAAGCTTCTTGACACTGGTCTTGGCAATGGTTTATTGAATAATGATACAAATGTATAGGCAACAAAAGTAAATACAAAGAAGTGAGACTACATCAAATGATCTATTTTTCACACCAAAGGAAATAATCAGCAAAGTGAAAAGGCAATCTACAGAATGGGAGAAAATATTTGCAAATTATATATCAGATAAATGGTTAATACACAAAATATACAAGGAACTCCTATAACTCAATACTGAAAAATCAAATAACTCAATTTAAAAATGGGCAAAAAGCATGAATAGATCAAAGAAGATATATAAATGGCCAATAGGTATATAAAAAGGTAGTAAACATCAATAATCATCAGAGAAATGCAAATCAAAATTACAATGAGATATCACTTCATACTTGTTAGAATTGCTACTAGCAAAAACAAAAATCATTATTGGTAAAGATGTGGAGAAAAGAGATCCCTTACAAATTGTAGCTGGGAATGTAAATTAGTATGAGTAAGGGAGGAGACCACCCCTCATATTGTCTTATGCCCAATTTCTGCCTCCAAAGAAAGAAGAAGTAAAAACTAAAAGGCAGAAATGAAATCCACAGGCAGACAGCTGGACGCCACGCCCTGGGCCTGGTTAAAGATCGACACCTGACCTAACCAGTTATGTTATCTATAGATTCCAGACATTGTATGGAAAAGCATTGTGAAAGTCCCTGTCCTGTTCTATTCCGTTCTGATTACCAGTATGCACTGGTAATCAGTATGCACTGGGGGCATGCAGCCCCCAGTCACATACTCCCTGCTTGCGCAATCAATCATGACCCTTTCACGTGGACCCCCTTAGAGTTGTAAGTCCTTAAAAGGGACAGGAATTGCTCACTCGGGGAGCTCGGTTTTTGGAGACGTGAGTCTGCCGATGCTCCCAGCTGAATAAAACCCTTCCTTCTACACCTCGGTGTCTGAGGGGTTTTGTCTGCAGCTCGTCCTGCTACATAGCCACTATGGAAAATAGTGTGGCGGTTCCTCAAAAAATGAAAAGATTGAACTACCACATGATCTACCAATACAACTTCTAGGTATATACCCTAAAGATTTGTAATCAGGATCTCAAAGATATATCTGCACTCCCATGTTCATTATAGTATTATCTACAATAGTAAAGACATGGAAGTGCTAAATGCTCATCAACAAATAAATGATAAATAAAATGTAATATATACATACAATGGAATATTATTCATCATAAAAAAGAAGGAAATCCTGCCATTTGCAACAACATGCATAAACGTGAAGGACACTATACTAAATGAAATAAGCTAGACACAGAAAAACAAATATTACATGATTCTACTTATATTGAACATCTAAAATAGTTAGACTCATAGAAGCAGAGAGTAAAATGGTGGTTACCTTGGTCTGGGAGGAGGGAGGAATCAGTAAGGTATTGCTCAAAGGGTATATAGTTTTGGTTACGCAAAATGAATAATTCCCAGAGTTCTACTATACAGCATATGGCTAACAACACTGTACTATTTGCTTAAAAATTTATTAAGAGGGGAGATTTTATGTTATCATAAAAAAAGGTGGAGAGTATAGGAAATCTTTACAGGTGATGTTTTTGTTTATGATTATGTTTATTTATGATGACTGTCTCACAGGTGTAAAATAATCTTTAAAAATGTATTAAGATGTATACATCAAATGTGTGCAGGGATTTTTTTGTACATTAATCATGCCTCCATAAAAAAGTAAGTATAAATAAAAATACAGATCATTTGCCATTATCTAACTTTGTAACTTTAGACAAATAACTGTCTGACTTCAGTTTTCTGGGGTTGTTTAAAGATTAAACAAAAGTATAAAGATCAAGTGCTTCACGTAGTGCCAGATATATAGGTGGTGCCTAATAATTGATATCTTTTTGCTTTTAAAGGTAGTTAGAAATAGGTGGAAAATATTTAGCAAAGTACCTAGGACATAGAAAGACTTGATAACTACCAAAAAGATGTTGGTCTTGTTGCTGTGATGATGATAATTATGATGATATTGAAGATACTAAATCCAAAATGTGACATTCAGATCCTAGGCCTAGTACTTATTACTTGCTTGCTCTCTGTTGGAGGCTGATCATGTCTCTGACCTTTACTTTCTTCATCTGTAAATGCAGATGTTGCTGCCCATTTCCTAAGACTGCTGAGAGAATCAAATGTGATTATGTTTATGATGGTGCTGTTTATATTGTAGAGCCATGTGCCAATGGTTTTTATTGGCATAATTGATGGCACTGTGCCTGCACATGACAATCATCTAGTAAACTTTGAATCAAAGACCATTGAATTTTAATGTATCACTGGATGGGTGTGGACATATTTAGCTTGTCTTGTGAGAATTTTTCAGCTATCAGTAATATCCACTTAAATAGTTAAGTGTTTAGAGTAGAGAAATAATCTCTTATTGAAATAACACCTAGTGAAAAGAATTGAGAAAGTACTTTTGGACAATAATTTTTAAACTCAAATTTTATGTGGAAGAATCTATATGTATGTAACAGCTTTAAAACTGACGAATTTAGAGTGGAGGGCAAAGAATTTCAACTGTTAAGGAAGAGAATAAGATGACAGGGATCAGGATCAAAGAAACAAAATTATTCTGGTTCCTGTCTCTCCACTAACTGAAACATCATCATTAAGATGTTGCAGGCAAAATGCCCAGCCTAACTTGTAACTAGCATCCTAACTTTTCCTGTATACAGGAAATCTCAGGGACCAGATTCCAACCCATGGCTACTTTATAGCTTCTCTAGAGTACAGCTGCAATGCTTTTCAGAAGCAACTTCTAAACAAATAACAAACACAGAATGAGCCCTGTGTGACCCCAAGCAAATCATTTAACCCCACTGAGCCTTATTTTTTCCATCAGCAAAATAATACTACCCCCTATCCACCTCCAAAGTGTTGTCAAGATAAAAAGAGCTGATTCTCTAAAAGCTCAGGGAGTTCCTGAGATGAAACATGCTCTATAAACCTAAAGTGCAATCACTTAATAATTTATAGGTTTTTGTTTTTGTTTTTGTTTGCTTTGGTTTTGATACTGAGATCTTGAGTGGTTATTTTATAGAATTTTTTTCCTCTGTTATATCCTTTTACTTACACCAGAAAGAGCTGCATAAGGGAAAGGCATTGCAATAACTTCAGAGTCCACAGCATGCAAGATAGTAACTATGGGGAAACTTTTGGAAATATCTACCATCACTAGGGAGGGAGATTTATCTTTTTCCTATTGTGATAGAGATATAAAATTGTATCCATTCAATAAGTATTTATTGAGCCTAGGCTTCCTTTCAGAAAATGTTCAAGCACTGGGAATATCCAAAAGATTAAAAGAAGTCCCACCCCAGGGACAATCTAATTAGGAAGACAGATACATAAACAAATAGTTAAAATGTGGCAAATGTTACACCTATTTACAAGATGATATTAAAACATGACAATGGAAGTGAAATTTGTTGTTTGGTTGGTTTGATTTGTTTTAATTCCTTCATAGACCAGTCACACTTGCTGGTAGTTTTTTGGAGCATTTAACGAACAGAAGCTGGTAATGAAAAAACAGGAATATTAGTCAATGAGTTAGAAGACCTAATCCTTGAGCCCATTTCCACCACTAATTTACAGGGTGAGCCTCATGCACAAAATGATTTGGTTTGCTATGTGATTTCTAATGTTGCTTTTATATTTTTTGAATTCTTTCTGGTACTGTATTTCTTGATATTCATCTTCCCTTCTATTTCCTTAGTCCTGTGTCTTTAAATCATTTAAAGTTAAGATAAAATGTTACTATTTTATTTTCCTGTGGAAAATTAATGCTATTGTTAGGTCATGTGAGAGGCTCACAGACCACTCACTGTCCAGAAATTGAGATTTCAGACTAACCCTTTGTAAACCAGCAAACACCTGCCTGCATTTATGCTTTTCTGCTTTCTGGAAGACGCCTCAGCCCTGTCAAAAGTTTTTATAAGGTTACAAAACGTATTAGTGTAAGTGGAATGACAGAGCCAACAACATTACACTATGGAAATGAAGGGCCATGAAAAAGCTTCCTGAAGGAAAATGGATTAACAAGTCGGCTAAATTGGCTACGTATGAAAAATTGATCAACAAAGTACAAAATAATGAACAGCCCTGGGATATTTCCACTGCTTGAGAAAAGAAAACAGATTATTTTTCATTTCAAAATCTCTGTCGTTAACACTGAAAATACTTAGGCCTCTATGACCCTGAAGAATTTTCAAGTCAAGACTTTCTAGCATAACAGAGTTCACAATGAAATAGTTCAGACTGCCAGAAAAGGGCTGGGGAACTGACAAGAAACAAACTGCTTGCTGGGTTGAGAACTGTCAAAACTTCACAAAAAAAAATAGGTATTTTAAATAAGCCGTTATTTGAAGGTGGCAAGAGAAGGGGGGAATACTTCAGTTCCTCCCCACCCTGCAATTCAACTTTGGATTTTGGAGGAGTAAAGGCAGCTTTATTTAGAATAATGGTTTAATCAAAGCCCACATTTCTGTGAGCTCATTTCACTTTTCCTTTGCAGCCAGTTAGCTTCCTAGCATGCCAGAAACAAAAGGTTCTTCTGGCACAACAGTCCTGGACACAGTCTAGCTATTGCTCTTCTAAGACATCCTGTAAAACTCCGCCTTGTGTTTATGGGGACCAAGTAACCCTCAAAACCACACACACAAGCACAGACCGTCAGATAAGGGTAACTCCCCACCCAGGGGATTCTTCCCCTTTTACCACTTTATCATTGCCTGCTTCTAAGTTCCCTTTCAAGGGTTTTTAATGGCCATTTCAAGTAACATCAGACTAAAACTTGGTTTGTCAGCATGAATGTGCTTTGCTTTCTCTTTTAAAAGAAAAGCTTAAAGCACAGTAATTAAAATGCTGATTAACTTTTAAATACTGAAGTGTTTTATTTTGCTTCTGAGAACTTCATGCTTCAAGCTGTGATTTTTTTATGTGGGGCCGAGGAGTGTTTCTTATTTTCAAATGTGTAGCATTAAGAAAAAGGGCAAGTGAAGCTCAACTGAATGCACCAGGGATGTTATGAACACAAATGAACCCCAAGGAGGAGTGTTAGCTCTGTGGAGCATAAACCTTTGCAAATGTCAATATCTAGGAGAGATTGGAGCACTGACCTTCAGGGATGGTAGGGGGGAGAATGGTAGAGAGATGAGACCAGAGAAGTAGGAGGGAGGCATATCACGGAAAGGAGTTAGATTTCTTTTCAAGAGTAATATAGGAAGTATTACTCAAGGTTTTTAAGTAGGGGACTGATGTGATCTAATATGAATTTAAAAGAACACATATTTTAAGATTTGGAATGCATATCAACGTGTGTATATCTGCATAGAATAGCTAACACATATTGAATGTTTACTATGTGCCAGATAGTATTCTAAGACCTTTGCATAGTACCCCATGAAGTAGGTACTATTGCTATCTCTCTTTACAGACAGAAAAAAATGGAGGCACGGAAAGTTAAGTAACTTGCCCAAAGTAACACACTTTGTAAGTGGCAGAACTGTGATTTAAACCCAAGCAAGATGATTGAAGCACTCATGCCTTTCAACTACTATGCTGTACAGCATTAACTCCATGACCGGTTACTCTAAGGTTGCTGATGTTATCCTGTAGCAGGACAAGCCACAGACAAAACTCCTCAGACACCGAGTTAAAGAAGGAAGGGCTTTATTCAGCCAGGAGTTTTGGCAAGACTCACGTCTCCAACAACCGAGCTCCCCGAGTGAGCAATTCCTGTCCCTTTTAAGGGTTTACAACTCTAAGGGGGTCCGTGTGAGAGGATCGTGATCAATTGAGCAAGCAGGGGGTACGTGACTGGTGGTGGCATGCACCAGTAATTAGAACAGAACAGAACAGGACAGGGATTTTCACAGTGCTTTTCTATATAATGCCTGTAGTCTATAGATAACATAACCTATTAGGTCAGGGGTCGATCTTTAACTATCAGGCCCAGGGTGTGGCGTCAGGCTGTCTGCTTGTGGATTTCATTTCTGCCTTTTAGTTGTTACTCCTTTCTTTGGAGGCAGAAACTGGGCATAAGACAATATGGGGGTGGTCTCCTCCCTTATTCCCCCCCTTTGAGAATCTCACTCAATAGTGGGAGTTCTCACTTTCATTCTCACTACCCGTGTCTTCTTGCAAGACAGATCGATAGTGATTCATATAGTACACCTGTGCTGAAGCATTTTAGTGAGCTAAGGTAGCAATGAAGCTTTTTATCATTTGAAGAAGTACGGGTAGCAAACAAGGGAGCAGTAAGCAGGTTCCTATTACTATTATAACTCCTATGATAAGAGTTTCAAATCCTCCTAGCACTGGGAACCATTTTCCAAACATGGCCCCATGATCAAATCCATGCCACACTTGTAAGGGCACATATGCCAGTTTTGTCATATCTCTAACTATGTCTTCAACTTTCAACTGCTTGCCCTTGATCATCTATGTGTAGACAGCAATCAGTAAGGTTAAATTTCCCACAGACCCCTCCTTCAGCTGCTAGCAAGTAGTTGAGAGCCAATCCATTTTGATACATAGCATTTCTCATCTGTGTTTCTTGCTGGGCCAGAATAGTCAAGGCTCTGCCGGTTTTATTAATGATTATTTCTAAGACAGCTTGTAACCATATGATTCAGTTGATCATGTAAATGGGGGTCCGGTAAACCCACAAGCCGTCTTGTGCCCAAGTAGCAGGCCCATAATATTGTATGATTCTCTCAGTGGGCCATTCATCATCTTTCCAACTTCCTATAGCTATGCTTCTCTTTTTGCGGGAAGCATAGACAGGGAAGCCCAGGAGTTCACCTGCTTTTATGGGCAGTAGGAAGAAAGATGGTTTAATAGTGCCAATAACACAACTACCTGCCCATTCGTCAGGTAATTTGGCGTAAGCTCTATGCCTACATATCCAGTATAATCCAATGGGGGCTGTCCAGTCCTGGTGGGACTCCAGGTGGGTCCCCATGGTTTGCAACTTTGGGAATTTACTAAATGGATTCCTCTCTGTGTGATTTGAACTCCACCAAGTGACTGTTTTTGTGGTACCATTATACAGTTTCTGTCCCAGACAACTAAGTCATCCTACGGGGTGAGTGAATTACTTTCCTTCTCTAGCTATGCAATATTGTCCAATAATTGAGGCTTTTAGGACCTAGAAATTATCAGGGTGATTCTTTTGAGCCAGGAATTCATCAGGAACTGAGTCTGTAGGTACTAATTCTCAGGCTTCCCGTGGCCATTGATCTCCCATTACAGTTCCTTCACATACACAGCAAGAAGTGATGTTGAGAGACTGGGCTACATGCTCGGCTAATTGCAAAAACAAATTTCTTGTTTTTCCTGGAATTTCTGGTACTGGCACATTTAGTTCATCATAGAAAGTCTGAAACACCGGTTCAGGAGAGCATTTGTAAACTTCTTCTCAAACCAAGATATTTACTCAAGGATTCAGTCCAGCCCCATCGATTCCTAAGGTCACACATGCTCCCCTTTCTTCCAGCAAGGATCAAGGGGACTGGTAATTACTAGCTCTAAGGGGTTACATTGTCCCTTAGTACAGGAAGGGCCATTTTTTCTTTCTGAAGGTGGACTGGATCCTTTTCATTTTTTATCCAGCCGGTGAGCTTGGTTGTTGGAGACGTGAGTCTTACCAAAGCTCTCAGCTGAATAAAGCCCTTCCTTCTTTAACTCGGTGTCTGAGGGGTTTTGTCTGTGGCTTGTCTTGCTACAATCCCTACACCCACAGCACAAATTTTATTCCAAAAAATCGATATAGAATTTTCTCCACTACTTAGTCTTACAGGTAGACACTGACACCATTATTAAGTATGATGAATTCTGGATTTTCTATTATTTTTAAATTTCCCAGTGTATAAGGGAATTTTCAGATATTTGTGGTAGGTATACACTGGTGCTGTACAGAATTCTTCTTAGGAAGCACCTCAGAATAATAATGATAACAAAATAAATCATAACAAAAATAATGATAACAAAAACAACTAACATACTGAAAAATCCCATTTATTCTTAAATGTTCCCTTTTACTTTCTGCTTTAGCTTATACACAGATATTCCTGAGGGTATTTCTTTTCAGTCATTGCAGCTGTTATTTTGAAACCTAAAGGTAGGTGTCTATTTTGCTCCTCTTAGACCAAATCTTCTCTTATCTCTCAAATCCCCAATTCCTTTGAAGTTGAGCAAGCAGGTATCAATCACCACTTGTAATTCCTCCTTGCTGAGTCATTTAATGACTTACCTGAAACCTCTCATCCAGTAACCCCCTCCCCAACTTTCTTATAGACTACCAGATCCTTGTGTCTTCCTTCCTCAACTAGCTTAGATTCCATAACTCATCATCGCAATCATGCTTTTGTAAATACTGCATTTGACCCTCTCTCTCCCCATCGCAATTGCCTAGCAAAGGCCTTGAATAATCTCAATTATTTGCTTTTTCAGTTCCTGATTCTTGAAACTAGAAAAAAGGTTTATCACTATACATTTGTAATTACCCATACTAAATGTACTTCAAAGTTCACTTGTGCCACAAGTAGGTGTGTACCCTAGCCCTAAGTAGACTATTTGGGAAATTTTAAAGATACCTGGGACCTACCCTAGAACAATTAAACCAATCCTTAGGGGTTAGGCACAGTTTTATGTGTCTTTAAACTGCTTGGATGATTCTCATGTGTAGCCAAGGTTAAAGAACCACTACCTTTACACTTTCAGCTGCTGACCTTGTCTCATACTTCTCTGAAAAACAGAAATCATTAGATAAGAATTTTTTCATCTTCCTACCACAATTCCACAAAACTCTGTTAATTCTGTTTCTACCATATACCTCAAATCTGTTTATATCTCATCATCTCCACTGCTGCAACCCTGGCCCACACCATCATCACGTCACATCTGACCACTAGAACTTCCTATTTGCCTCCCTAATTCCATGCACTTCCTTATTAAATCAATCTCCCCATGCATCTAGGGTGATTTTTCAAATATTAAAAACATTCTACTACTTCTCACCTCATTAAAAATGTAATCCAAGCTCTTTGCCAAGGCCTTTAAGATTTGTTTGGTCTACCCCCAGTTTAACTACCACACCTCATTCATTGTGTTTCTCTTCTCCTCTCACAAGATAATTCAAACACTGGCTTCTATGATGCCACAGATCAGGAGTCTCCCATAGCTGCTGCTTCTGCCTGGAACAATCTCTGGCCTACTTTTATCTTTTACTTGGTTAACTCCTACTCATATTTGAAATTTCCCCCCAAATATCTCTTCCACAGAGAAAACTTCTATAATTACTTCCCAGTAAGTCTGTTCTCTCTTATTTTCTTTTCTCATACCACTTTCCATTTTCTGCCATAATACTTTTCAACTTTTGTAACTAGATTTTGAATTTATATTTAGACATTTAATGGCTATAAGCTCCATGAGATCAATAACCATATTTGAATTTTTTCCACTATATACAAAGTGCCTAATATGGTCCCTGTCACATAGCAAAAAAAGCAGTATCTATCTGCTGATCATTTCTTGTATTGAAAAAATTAATTATAAATCACTCCCAACTTGTTTTAGGGATTTTTGGCAATTTAATAGGGCATTTCTATTGATTTCTATTTTTTTAATTAAGCCAAAACAATAATTTCTCTAATATGATTACAATGTCAAACTATATTAGAACCACTTCAGATTGGCATATAGCCTCAACTGGGACATGTGTAGAGTGTTATTTCTCAAATAATTCACACATAATTATGTTCCCTGACACCCAGGTTATATTCTATTTCACAATTACAATAAATCTAGGATTGAATGCACATCAGAATATGTTTCCATCTCATAAATGGATTATTCTCATCTGTCATTTCCTCCTTTGTCACTTTGATAAAATTAAATAGACATATACTGGTTCAATTTTATTCGTTAATTCAAATAAACCATCTTTTGGATTTACCAATCTTTGTAGTAAATGTTTCAATTTAATTTACTCTTATCTGTACAATTTCATTGTCTATTTGATTTGTTCTTTTATTAATTTTTAAGCTGGATGCAGAGCTTATTAATTTTTAGTCATTGTCCTTTTGTGCAATAGAAATTAAACCTGTATGTATAAACTTCTAAATCAGGGATTGGCAAACTACAGCCTTTAGGCCAAATCCAGCCATGTTCTATGTCCTTAAAGCTAAGAATGGTTTTTACATTTTTAAAAGTTTATAAAAATATAAAAAAATAACAGGTGACAAAGACCATATGAAGCTCACAAAGCTTGGAATATCTACCCCTGACCCTTTACCAAAACCTGATTTAAATATTGCTTTAGCTGTATCCTGTAATTTTCTTATAAAGAAATGAAACTATTCCAATCAATAGAAAAAGAAGGAATCCTCCCTAACTCATTTTATGAGGCCAGCATCATCCTGATACCAAAGCTTGGCAGAGACACAACATAAAAAGAGAATTTTAGACCAATATCCCTGATGAGCATTGATGCAAAAATCCTCAATAAAATACTGGCAAACAGAATCCAGCAGCACATCAAAAAGCTTATCTACCATGATCAAGTGGGCTTCATCCCTGGGATGCAGGGCTGGTTCAACATACGCAAATCAATAAACATAATCCAGCATATAAACAGAACTAATGACAAAAACCATATGATTATCTCAATAGATGCAGAAAAGGCCTTTGACAAAATTCAACAGCCCTTCATGCTAAAAACTCTCAATAAATTAGGTATTGATGGGACCTATCTGAAAATAATAAGAGCTTTCTATGACAAACCCACAGCCAATATCATACTGAATGGGCAAAAACTGGAAGCATTCCCTTTGAAAACTGGCACAAGACAGGGATGCCCTCTCTCACCACTCCTATTCAACATAGTGTTGGAAGTTCTGGCCAGGGCAATCAGGCAGGACAAGGAAATAAAAGGTATTCAATTAGGAAAAGAGGAAGTCAAATTGTCCCTGTTTGTAGATGACATGTTTGTATATCTAGAAAACCCCATCATCTCAGCCCAAAATCCCCTTAAGATGATAGGTAACTTCAGCAAAGTCTCAGGATACAAAATCAATGTGCAAAAATCACGAGCATTCTTATACACGAATAATAGACAAACAGAGAGCCAAATCGTGAGTGAACTCCCATTCACAATTGCTTCAAAGAGAATGAAATACCTAGGAATCCAACTTACAAGGGACATGAAGGACCTCTTCAAGGAGAACTACAAACCACTGCTCAAGGAAATAAAAGAGGATACAAACAAATCGAAGAACATTCCATGCTCATGGGTAGGAAGAATCAATATCATGAAAATGGCCATACTGCCCAAGGTAATTTATAGATTCAATGCCATCCCCATCAAGCTACCAATGACTTTCTTCACAGAATTGGAAAAAACTACTTTAAAGTTCATATGGAATCAAAAAAGAGCGCGCATTGCCAAGTCAATCCTAAGCCAAAAGAACAAAGCTGGAGGCATCACGCTACCTGACTTCAAACTATACTACAAGGCTACAGTAACCAAAACAGCATGGTACTGGTGCCAAAACAGAGATATAGATCAATGGAACAGAACAGAGCCCTCAGAAATAATGCCGCATATCTACAACCATCTGATCTTTGACAAACCTGACAAAAACAAGAAATGGGGAAAGGATTCCCTATTTAATAAATGGTGCTGGGAAAACTGGCTAGTCATATGTAGAAAGCTGAAGCTGGATCCCTTCCTTACACCTTATACAAAAATTAATTCAAGATGGATTAAAGACTTAAATGTTAGATCTAAAACCATAAAAACCATAGAAGAAAACCTAGGCAATACCATTCAGGACATAGGCATGGGCAAGGACTTCATGTCTAAAACACCAAAAGCAATGGCAACAAAAGACAAAATTGACAAATGGGATCTAATTAAACTAAAGAGCTTCTGCACAGCAAAAGAAACTACCATCAGAGTGAACAGGCAACCTACAAAAATGGGAGAAAATTTTTGCAATCTGCTCATCTGACAAAGGACTAATATCCAGGATCTACAATGAACTCAAACAAATTTACAAGAAAAAAACAAACAACCCCATCAAAAAGTGGGTGAAGGATAGGAACAGACACTTCTCAAAAGAAGACATTTATGCAGCCAAAAAACACATGAAAAAATGCTCATCATCACTGGCCATCAGAGAAATGCAAATCAAAACCACAATGAGATACCATCTCACACCAGTTAGAATGGCAATCATTAAAAAGTCAGGAAACAACAGGTGCTGGAGAGGATGTGGAGAAATAGGAACACTTTTACACTGTTGGTGGGACTGTAAACTAGTTCAACCATTGTGGAAGTCAGTGTGGCGATTCCTCAGGGATCTAGAGCTAGAAATACCATTTGACCCATCAATCCCATTACTGGGTATATACCCAAAGGATTATAAATCATGCTGCTATAAAGACACATGCACACGTATGTTTATTGTGGCACTATTCACAATAGCAAAGACTTGGAACCAAGCCAAATATCCAACAATGATAGACTGGATTAAGAACATGTGGCACATATACACCATGGAATATTATGCAGCCATAAAAAATGATGAGTTCATGTCCTTTGTAGGGACATGGATGAAGCTGGAAACCATCATTCTCAGCAAACTATCGCAAGGACAAAAAACCAAACACCGCATGTTCTCACTCATAGGTGGGAATTGAACAATGAGAACACACGGACACAGGAAGGGGAACATCAAACACTGGGGCCTGTTGTAGGGTCGGGGGAAGGGGGAGGGATAGCATTAGGAGATATACCTAATGTTAAATGACGAGTTAATGGGTGCAGCAGACGAACATGGCGCATGTATACATATGTAACTATCCTGCACGTTGTGCTCATGTACCCTAAAACTTAAAAGTATAATTTAAAAAAAAAGAAATTTCATCATTATTTAATTGTAAGTACATCTATTTGCCATTATAATTTCTTTTTTGACCTATAAATTATTTCAAGTTGTGTTTGTTGATATCCCAATAAATGCATTTTGTATCTTGTTTCATTGTTGATAGTAACTTAATTTCTTTGTGGTAAAATGACTTGGCTGACTTGGCATGAATACTGGAAAATATTTTATGGAAGCCCAGATTTGTTTTATGACTTACAACATTACCAATGTTCTTGTATCATCCATGTGTACTTGAAAGAATTCTTTATTTTCCAAATGCTGGTTGTGTGATTCGATTTACATATAGTAGACGTAGTTTTTTAAATAGTTTGCTGAAATCATCCAGATCCATATTGACATTTTATTCAGTAATCTATTAACTACTAAGGAATATGGGCTAATATCTCTCATAACAATGGTAAATATATTATTTTTGCTTTACGTATCTTAACACTATATTATTAGTTACATACAAGTTTAACATTCATATATTTCTTGATTTATTTGAATATAATCTTTAATATATAATATATAGTAGGCATGCTATCATTAGCAATGCTTTTTGCCTTTGTGATAATTTTATCTGATATAGTATGTCTGTAGCAATATTATTTTGATTAATATTTGCTTTTATTTTTCTGTGTATCACTGTACTTTCAAACTTACTGTTTCACTATAAATATAAGTTAATTGGAGATTTAAAAATATAGGCAAATTTTACAGTTTTTTAACTGGAAAGCGTACTTTATTTAAATTTATTTTGATTACTGATATATTTAAATTCATTTCTACCATCTTATTTTGAACTTTCTATTTTTCTACTGCTTTTTAAAAATTGCTCTATTTCAAACCTATTTCTGAATTCTTTTTATTTTTTTCTAGCAGAAAAAAGTAATACACTCTAATTATCATAGAAATATTCAAATGCATATTTAACCTGACAAAATCTATGATTAATTAATATGCTTACTTTTCTCCTTTACAAGGATATTACATGGCTTTAACTGCAGTTATTCCCCTGTAATTACTATGGATTAGTAGTAAGTTTTGTCTTGCTTATTTTATATTCTTCCAAATTGGACATTATCATTAATGTTACAAATATTTGCTTTTTGCCTAGAAATTCATCCACGTTTGCTATGTCTGTTTGCTTCTCAAGTATTCTTTACACAGTCAGTTCTCACTATTCATAAATTCCATATTTGTGAATTTGCTACGTGCTAAACTTTGTTATCCCAAAATAAATATGCGTGTCACTTTCACACTCATTCATGGATATACACATGCTCAGAACAGCAAAAAAATTGAGTCTCGTAAGCTATGTATTCCCAGCTGCGGCTGAACAAGGTAATACTCTGCCTTCTTGTTTCAGCTCTCATTCTGTAAACAAGTGCCCTTTTCATGGTCTATTTAATGTTAAATTTTTCATATTTTTGTGCTTTTATTTGGTGATTTCACTGTTTAAATGGCCTCAAGAAAAATGGTAAAGTGCAGTCTAGTGTTCCTAAGTGCAAGGAGGCTATGATATACTTTATGAGGAAAATACGTGTGTTATATAAGCTTTGGGCATGAGTTACAGTGGTATTGACTATGAGTTTAATGTTAATGAAGGTATAATATATTTTTACCAGCACTTTGGGTGGCCAGGGCTGGCAGATTACCAGAGGCCAGGAGTATGAGACCAGCCTGGCCAATATGACAAAACCCTATCTCTACAAAAAATACAAACATTAACCGGGTGTGCTGTGCACACCTGTAATCCCAGCTACGTGGGAGGCTGAGGTAGCAGAATCACTTGAACCTGGGAGGTGGAGATTGCAGTCAGCCAAGATCGTGCCACTGCACTCCAGCCTGGGCGACAGAGCAAGACTGTCAAAACAAAAAACCAAAACAAAACAAAAAACCATAAAACATATATATATATAAAGTTAAGTAAAGTATCCTTAAGCAGAAACATTTATAAAACAAGATTACGTATTAATTTGCTGGTGAAACTGTTATAATCAGAGGTTTGCAAGGCCTAACTTTATATTTTCCCTAGAAGACATGATTCAGTATTTGCTAATTCAGTTTTCATGGCAACTTCATGGAACCTAACTACAGTGAGTAACAAGAATCAATTGTATTATAATTTTTCTTCCCATAACAGATTTTTTTAAAATCCCTTAATGAGGTCTATTGATTATACACTCAGTTTTTATTTATTTTATTTAATCTTTATTTTATTTTCATCCTTGAAAGATAGTTTGCTAGGTATAAAATTTCAAATTGATAACTACTTTGGCTTAGCACATTGAAATGCTTTTTCACTGTTTTCTGGCATCCATTATTACTGCTAAGAAATCAGCTATTAGGCTAATTGTTGTTACTTGGTAAGAA
Source organism: Homo sapiens (assembly GCF_000001405.40). Classification (NCBI taxonomy): domain Eukaryota; kingdom Metazoa; phylum Chordata; class Mammalia; order Primates; family Hominidae; genus Homo; species Homo sapiens. The sequence goes on along the minus strand of NC_000003.12, from coordinate 161,929,417 downwards.
GTCACTCTTTGATCACTTTTTGACATTATCTTTGCTCTTCTGAAGTTCATTAAACTTCTTAATTGGTGTTTTTAATCAGTTCTAGAAAATGTACAATGTTTTTCACCCTTTGAGTTTATACCTCCTTCATTCTCTCTTTTTGGGAGACTGGAGATATATCTTAGGTCTTCTCAATCCATTCTCTACATCTGTATAACCATTTAACATTTTTATTTCTTTGGTTGTCTTTTGCTTACTTGTAAACATTTTCTTCAAATTGGCTTTTGGATCACTAATCTTCTCTTTATCTGTGCTATTTTGAATGCTAACAATCCACTGAATTTCTAACTTTATTATTTATAGGATGTTTTAATATTAAAGTTTTACTTGACTGTTTTCTTAACACTGCCTTGTCAATTTTTATATTCTCTTGTTTTTTAGTTACTTTTGATACCTTATTTTATCCCAAACACACACACTTTATATTTTCTGCCTGTTATTTCTGTTATCTGTCACTTATTTAGTCCAAATTATCCTGTTTGCTGTTCCTGCTGATGCTTCTATATGATTATTCACTTTTATGCCTTATGATTTTTGAATTTGCTTTTGTAATCCTATTTTTTAAATCTGTGATAAGTTTTTAAAGTCTGGACTTCACTTGTTTCCTTCTAGGCAAAATTTGTATTTGTTTTTTCCAGGCATCTGGGAGCAAATCTAACTTAAGACCAATTTAAACTAATTTTTCAGCTACATTCATGTCTTTGTTTTGGCTACAATAACAAAGAACCAGAAAAGGCCATCAGTGATCAATAGATATTCCCAGGACGCTGGTTACAGTACTTTCAGTTCTCACAATATTTTTCTAAATTCAAGTTTTCTTATCTTTATGCTCCCTGAAACATGCATTTAAGATGTTTTTAAAATATTTTTTGTACATTGCTTCTGCTAGATAGCCAAAACAGAAAATCTAAATAAATGTCTCTGTTTAACAGAAAATTTTTTTACATTTTTTCGATTACAGTAAGAACAAAATCCCTTTGACTTTTTCTTATGCTTTTATATTAACCTCATTCTCAAACCAATAAAATTAAAAATAGAAAATAAAACAGATAAATAAAGTATTACAACTAGAATGCATTAATTAATATAGGCTATGTTACTATAGTAAGACAACAGTGATGTGTTTCACACTAGAAAATATAATGAGACAAAAGTTCCCACTTATCTGCTGTTTTACTTTCTTTAGACTGGTGGGCAACTGCAGCCTAAAAATAGATGAGTACAGTACAAGATATTTTGACACAGAGAGAAAGAGATCATTTTCAAATACCTTTTATGCAGAATATTGCTATAATTATTCTATTTTGTTATTAGATATTATTAACAATCTATTACTGTACCTAAATCATAAATTAAACTTTATCATAGGTGTGTGTGTGTGTGTGTGTGTGTGTGTATATATATATATGAAAAAGGATAGTATATGTAGGGATGTAGGGTCTGTACTATCCATAGTTTTAGGCATCCACTGAACGTCTTGAAACTTGTTCCTAATAGACAAGAAAGCACTTCTATATATCTTTTATGGACTGAATTGTGTCCTCCAAAAATTCATACATTGAAGCCCTAACTCCAACGTGTATTTGGAGGTGGGGCCTTTAAGCAGATAATTATGGTTAAATGAAGTAATTAGGGTGGGGTCATAATCCAATAGTATTAATATTCTTACCTTAATCCAATAGTATTAGTTTTCTTATAAAAGGAAGAGACACCAGGAGTGTGTGCACACTGAGGAAAGTTCTGTTGTTCAAGGCACCCAGTCTGTGGTATTTTATTATGGCTGTTCTAGAAGACTAATACAATATATACATGTATTAGTTCAGTTTAACGCTGCTGTGAAGAAGTACCTGAGACTGAGTAATTTATAAAGAAAAAAAGGTGTAATTAACTCACAGTTCTGCATGGCTGGGAAGAACTCAGGAAATTTACAATCATGGTGGAAGGCACCTCTTCACGGGGCTGCAGGAGAGAGACTGAGTGCCAGCAGGAAAAATGCCAGATGCTTATAAAACCACCAGCTCTCATGAGAATTCAAGCACTATCACAAGAACAGAATGGGGGAACTGCCCCCATGATTCATTACCTCCCACTGGGTCTCTCTCACAACATGTGGGGATTATGGGGATTATAATTCAAGATGAGACTTGAGTGGGGACACAGCCAAATCATATCATTCTGCCCCCAGCCCCTCCCAAATCTCATGTTCTCACATTTCAAAACACAATCATGCCTTCCCAACAGTCTTCCAAAGTCTTAACTCATTCCAGCATTAACCCAAAAGGCCAAGTCCAAAGTCTCATCTGAGACAAGACAAGTCCCTTCTGCTTAAATCAAAAGCAAGTTAGTTACTACTTAGATAAAATGAGGATACAGGCATTGGGTAAATACACCCATTCTGAATGGGAGAAATTGGCCAAAACAAAGGGGCTACAGACCTCATGCAAGTCTAAAATCTAATAGGGCAGTCCTCACAACTTAAAGTTTCAAAATGATCTCCTTTGACTCCATGTCTCACATCCAGGTCGTGCTGATGCAAGAGGTGGGTTCCCACAGCCTTAGGTAGCTTGGCCCCTTTGGCTTTGCAGGGTACAGCCCCCTTCCCAGCTGCTTTTGCAGGCTGGCATTGAGTGTCTGCAACTTTTTCAGGTACACGGTGCAAGCCATCAGTGGATATACCACTCTTGGGTCTGGAAGATGGTGGCCCTCTTCTCACAGCTCCACTAGGCAGTGTTCCAGTGGGGACTCTGTGTGGGGGCTCCGACCCCATATTGCCCTTTTGCACTGCCCTAGCAGAGGTTCTCCATGGGGACAGTGCTCCTGCAGAAAACTTCTGCCTGGATGTCCAGGTATTTCTATACATCCTCTGAAATCTAGGTGGAGGTTTCCAAATCTCAATTCTTGACTTCTTAGCACCGGCAGGCTCAACTCCACATATAAGACATCAAAGCTGAGGGCTTGCACCCTCTGAAGCAAGGGTCAGAGCTGTACCTTGACTTCTTTTAGCTGTGGCTGGAGCAGCTGGGATGCAGGGCACTAAATCGTGTACAGTGCCTGGTTTTATTTGTTTTGTTTTGTTTCTTTGTTTGCTTTTACTTATGCACAGCATTTATTACCAAAATCCTGACATTTATTTTTGAATAGCTGCTTAGAGTGGAAACTCTTACCCTGTTATAAAATATTCAAAATGCAGGTTCACATTGTAGCATTCGACAACATCTCCCTCTTGTGGTTCAAAGCATTCATTTCAAACATGAATATATTATGTACAGAATTGCAATTGTTTAGCTTGAAATTATGCTGTGAAAGTTTGGTTCATACTTGGTGAATTGTTTTGGAGTAAAGTGTGAAGATTTAGGAACATGAATACAAACAGAATATTTACTTTTCTTGGCTAGTTCCAGAGTCCCAATATCTCAGGCCCAGCCCAACCCACAAAACCATTTTTCCCTCCTATGCCTCTAGGCCTGTGATGGGAGGGGCTGCTGTGAAGGTCTCTGACATGCCCTAGAGACATTTTTTGCATTGTCTTGGTGACTAACATTTGTTCCTTGCTACTTATGCAAATTTCTGAAGTGGACTTCAATTTCTACCCAGAAAATGGGTTTTTCTTTTTTATTGCATTGTCAGTCTGCAAATTTTCCAAACTTTTATGCTCTGCTAACTCTTGACTTCTTTGTACTTAGAAATTTCTTTCACCAGATACCCTAAATCATCTCTCTCAAGTTCAAAGTTCCATAGATCTCTAGAGCAGGAGCGAAATGCTTCCAGTCTCTCTGCTAAAGGATAGCACCTCAGCCTGGACTTCATTGTCCATATCACTATTGGCATTTTGGTTGAAGCCATTCAACAAGTCTCTAGGAAGTTCCAAACTTTCCCACATCTTCCTATCTTCTTCTGAGCTCTCTCAACTTTTCCAGCCTCTCTGTGTTAGCCAGTTCCAAAGTCAATTCCACATTCTCAACACTCCTGGTACCAATTTACTGTATTAGTCCATTCTCTTGCTGCTATGAAGAAATATCCAAGACTGGGCAATTTATAAAGAAAAGAGGTTTAATTGACTCACAGTTCCACAAGGTAGGGGAGGCCTCAGGAAATGCAGAATCATGGTGACAGGCACCTCTTGACAGGGTGGCAAGAGGGAGAATGAGTGCAAGCAGGGGAAATGCCAGATGCTTGTAAAACCATAAGATCTCATGGGAACTCACTCAGCATCACAAGAAAAGCATGAGGAAAACTGCCCCCATGATTCAATTACCTCCCATTGGGTCTCTCTTATAACACATGCAGATTATGGGGATTGCAATTCAAGATGAGATTTGAGTGGGGACACAGCCAAACTATATCAATATATGTACACTTAAAATTCTTAAAAATAAATGCATACTCATAATGGAAATATATATTTATGTAAATTTTAGTATTGCCTTGTAACATTTAATGAATGTGTTTTCTGAAACAACACAACATACAAACCCAACAAACAAACCTTCCCAATGTCAGTATAACTTTGCTGACAAGTAAAAAATATCATAGTTTATACTATGTAATGTATACCCACTTATTTACTGATTCCTGCTAAAAAAATTTTCATTGCCATCTCATCTAGAAAATCATAATGACTTTGATAATAATAAACTACATTTTTTCAAGCAGGAAAACATGTCTTACAAACACTTTATTAACACTTTGTCAAACAGGTAGAGAAAGAAAAATTAGGAGCAAAAATGAATTGAAACAATTTTTGGATGGAAAATTGATGTAATTTTTAAAAATATTTTTAACACAGCTGGGTGTGGTGGCTCATGCCTGTATTTCCAACACTTGTAGAGGCTGAGGTGGGAGAATTTTTTGAGTCCAGGAGTTTGAGACTAGCCTGAGCAACATAGTGAGAAACCATCTGTACAAAAATGAAAAAAAAAAGAAAAAATTAGCCGAACATGGTGATGCACACCTGTGATCCCACCCACTCAGGAGGCTGAGGCAGGTGGATTGCTTTAGTCCAGGTCAAGGTTGCAGTGAGCCATAATCCCACCACTGCACTCCAGTCTGGATACCAGCAAAATAACTAAAAAAACTCAAAGGATAATGAATATATAACATACTAAGAACTGTGAGACACAGTCAAAGTAGTGATGAAGGGAAACATTATAGAGTTAACTGTATATATAAGAAAGGAAGAAAGGCTAAAATTTCAAAAATCTAAGCTTCTTTTGCAAGAAGTTAGAACTGGAACAACTAATCAAACCTTAAGAATAGAAAAAAGAAAACAAGAAAGGGAAAACCAGTAACCCATTAAATAGATAATTAACGTAATATTAGAAGTTAAAAAATAGTTGATGATTATTTTAAAAGATCAATAAAATTTAGAAATTAGTCATAAGATTGAGCAAGAATAAAAGAATGAAGGTACAAGTTACCAATATAAAGAAGACAAAAGGGAACTATAGACTTTAAAAGGAAAGTAAACATATTACAAATAATTTTACACCAATAAATTTGAAAATTCGGAGGAAATGGACAAAATCTTTTAAAAATACAACTTACTAAAACTGACCAAATAGAAAATAGAAAATTAAAACATATAAATATCTAATTGAATATATTATTTAAAACTTTTCCAAAATTATTACTGTAGCCCCATATGTTTTAACCCATGAGTTTTTCCTAACATTCAAGGAAGAGATAATGCCAATCTAACATAAATCCTTTTAATAATAAAGAAAGAAAAATAAAAAGTTCCTCAACACATTTGTAAGAAAGCACATCTTGATTTCACAACCTGATAGGGACCAAAGAAAGTATAATTATAGATGAGTCTCTCTCATGAACATAGTTGCAAAAATTACAAATAAGATGTTAGTAAACATAACTTAGCAATACATACCTATATCATGATCAAGTGAAGTTTACTGAAAGAATGAAAGCTTGATAAATCAACTTAAAGAAAAGATAAATAATGGGAAATACATTGTATATCTGAGTTTTGGGATTGAGGTGTTTACCACGTAAATTTTTTTTCATCTTAAAAATTTGTCTTTCTGAGTCAACTTAAGATAAAAAGCCAATAGGTCCAGGCACGGTGGCTCAATCCTGTAATCCCAGCACTTTGGGAGGCCGAGGTGGGTGGATCATGAGGTCAGGAAATCGAGACCATCCTGGCTAACACGGTGAAACCCCATCTGTACTAAAAATACAAAAAAAAGAAAAAAGAAAAAAAAACCAACCGGGCATGGTGGCCGGTGACTGTAGTCCCAGCTACTCAGGAGGCTGAGGCAGGAGAGTGGTGTGAACCCGGGAGGTGGAGCTAGCAGTGAGCTGAGATTGCACCACTGCACTCCAGTCTGGGTGACAGAGTGAGACTCTGTCTCACAAAAATAAACAAATAAATAAAATAAAAATAAAAAGCCAAACAAATTAAATCAGAACATGAAATCATTTTAAAATACTAAGAATATTTTTACAAATGTAATAAACCAAAATTTACTAACATGAAATCTCAAATTCAGATCTAACTTGAGTTTGCTATTGCATTTTATCTCAGGAAGCAAAAGTAACTGATATAATATTTCTCAGAAGTATTCTATGTTCCTCTCTGATAAATCTTTTTTTGATACAAATCCAATGATTAGGTCATCCTTGTAAATAATATTTATAGATTTATAAATCCCAATGAATTACAAATTGTTCTAGGCTATTGTCCACAGAAAGGATGTTTGCACTTTCACGTTACTGGAGAGAAATATGCCTAATTTTTAGTATAAGTGAATTGCCAGATATCATCAGCTATTGTACAGACAGAATTTACTATCTATCAACATGATAGCAATGCCACATTTAAACCTGTTAACATCAGGTATCTTCAACATGTCTGTCATTAGTATGCTGAGTTTATATTTCAAGCAAATATGGTATGAATTTAATTTAGTTATAAACTAAATTTCATTGCTTTCAAAAGGGACTACTTCTACAATAAAAGAAACTTTATCTCTCTGGAGTTAATTAATTGAATGATATATCATGTAACCAAATTTTAACATAGTCACTAAAATTTTCAAGGAGGTTATTCTAAATATTAATCCTCAAAGTAATAACTTATAGTGAAGACCAATTTAATAGTACATCCCATTAAGATTTTTGAATGAACTATTCATTGTAACTTTGTAACTAACAAATTGAAAGTTTTATGGCTACATACTGTTGTTAATCAAGTTTTATTTTCTTTATTGGTCTTAATAAAATAGTAAGACTGTCCCTTTAAATGTTCATAAACCTAATTCATATTTTTACTTGAAATATTGGTTCAATCATCTTGGGAAAGTCACAGATACACACTGTGAATACATTTAAGTATCATATTTTTTCAGTCTCTTAAAAAATAAAACCCTTAAATATTAGGGTAATATATTGTCAAGTAGACAAATACAGTGCTCATGATTAGGATACAACTTTCTTAAATACCAAGAAAAATTTGAAAATTCAATATATTTAACACCAGTTAAAGTTAATTTTGTACCCAGTTCATTTTGCTCTTTGTAGAAGAAATACATCAAGTGATATTTATTTGTAGGGAGAAATAAATGAATAATAAATTCTTCAATAGACTTAGGAGAACATACATTTACTAATATGGATCCAGAGATTATCCTTAAAGATGTCTTAAATCTTTAAATGTTTAAAGATCCTTAAAGAGGATAGAGTACAGGTCAAGGGTCAAGGCCACCAAAGAAGAAGGCAGATTTACTGAGAGATTAGAAGAAAACAGCAACAAGAGGGGCACTGGAGCCACCTGTATTGGAGTGGCATATATCTGAAAGTAGAAGAGCATCAAAGTGGAGACAGGAGCAAAGAGAACATAAAAGGAAGAACCTAAGTCAGTGCCAGTCAAAGCTTATACATTCATTAGATGTCTGTTCAATAAACATTTGCTGAATAGATGTTTGCTGAACAAATGAATGAAGGAATAAATGCACTAACACCACTCCTGCTTCCTGGGATATCAGGGTGCAAGGAAACAAGGCTATAGTAAAAACAAAACAAAACAAAACAAAAAACTGTAAGGTCCTCAAAGAAGAGTTTGATGTTTTTTTAAGTCAGGAAAGCAAAGCACTTTCTAAGAAGACAGGAATTTGAGAATGGTAGAGGCATTATAGAATAATGGGAAAGGAGGCAGATCATCAGTGTCTAGAATGTTGATAAGCTTGTAATTGTGACCAGTAAATTTTTGTTGAAGAAATTAATGGAACCCAAGAGGAAATGACTATTGAAATACGAGGGGTTGGTTCTGTTTTTTTTCTTTTAATACTTTTATATTTTTACTTCAACTTTTATATTAGATACTGGGGATATATACACAGGTTTGTTACATGGAAATACTGTTTAATGCTGAGGTTTGGAGTATAGATCTTGTTACCCTGGTAGCGAGCATAGTATCCAATAGGTAGTTTTAAAATCCCCCATCCCTCCAACTTCTAGTAGTCCACAGTTTTTATTGTTCCCGTATTTATGTCCATGTGTGTTCAATGCTTAGCTCCCACTTATAAGTGAGAAGATGCAGTATTTGGTTTTCTGTTCCTGTGTTCATTCATTTCAGAATTACGGCCTCCTGCTCTATCAATGGTGCTGCAAAAGACATGATTTCATTTTTTATGGCTGCATAGTATACCATGTTATATATGTACCAAATTTTCTTTATCCAGTGTACCACTGATGGGCATGTGGGTTCATTCCATGTCTTTGCTATTGTGAACAGTGCTGCGATGAGATGTGAGTGCATGTGTCTTTTTGGTAGAATAATTTATTTTCTTTTGGATATATACCGAGGAATGGGATTACTGGATCAAATGGTAGCTCTGTTTTAAGTTCTTTGAGAAATCTCCAAACTGTTTTCCATGGTGGCTCGACTAATTTACATTCCCACCAACAGTGTGTAAGCATTCCAACAGCATTTGTTTTTGTTTTTTTGGACTTTTTAATAATAGCTATTCTGACTGGTATGAGATGGTAATCTCATTGTGGTTTTGACTTGCATTTCTCCATGATTAGTGACACTGAGCATTTTTCATATGTTTGTTGGCAACTTATATATCTTCTTTTGAGAAGTGTCTGTTTGTGTCCTTTGTTCATATTTTAATGGGGTTATTTGTTTTATGCTTGTTGATTTGTTTAAGATCCCTAAAGGTTCTGGATATTACGGCCTTTGTTAAATGCATAGTTTGGCAATATCCTCTCCCATTCTGTAGGTTGTCTGTTTGCTCTGTTCATAATTTCTTTTGCTGTGTAGAAGCTCTTTAATTAGGTCCTGTATTAGTCTGTTCTCACACAGTTATAGAGACATACCTGATACTGGGTAATTATAAAGAAAATAGGTTTAATCATCTCATGGTTATGTGGGCTACACAGGCTTCTGCTTCTGGGGAGACCTCAGAAAACTTACAATCATGTCAAAAGGTGTAGGCAAAGCAAGCACATCTTCACATGGTGGGCAGGAGAGAGAAAGAAGAAGCAGGTGCTACAAACTTTCAAACATCCAGATTTTGTGAGAACTCTATCACCAGACAGCACTAGGGAAATGCTGCTAAACCATTAGAAACCACCCCCATAATCCAATCACCTCCCTCTAGGCCTTACCTCCAACACTTGGGATTACAATTCAACATGATATTTGGGTAGGGACATGGAGCCAAATCATGTCAGGTCCCACTTGTCTATTTTTGCTTTTGCTGCATTTGCTTTAGGGGACTTAGCCAAAAATTCTTTGCCAAGGCTGATATTGAGAAGAGTATTTCCTAGGTTGTCTTCCAGGGTTTTTATAGTTTGAGGTCTTACATTGAAATCTTTAATTAATTTTGAGTTAGTTTTTTATATGGTGAAATGTAGGGATCCAATCTCATTCTTCTGCATATGGCTAGCCAATTATCCTAGCACCATTTGTTGAATACGGTGTCCTTTCCCCATTGCTTATTTTTGTCAGCCTTGTTGAAGATCGGATGGTTGTAGGTGTGTGGCTTTATTTCTGGGTTCTCTATTCTGTTGCTTGGTTTGCATGTCTGTTTTTGTACCAGTACAAAGATGTTTCAGTTACTGTGGCTTTATAGCATACTTTGAAGTCAGATAGTGTGATGCCTCCAGTTTTTTTTCTTTTTGGTTAGGATTTCTTTGGCTATTCAAACTCTTTTTTTTTTAGTTCCATATGAATTTTAGCACAGTCTTTTCTAATTCTGGGAAGAATGATTTTGGTGGTTTGATAGAAATAGCACTGAATCTGTAAATTGCTTTGGGCAATATGACCATTTTTATGATATTTATTCTTCCCATTCATGAGTTAATCCACCACAATCAAGTAGGCTTTATTCCTGGAATGCAAGGCTGGTTCCACATATGTAAATCAATAAATGTGATCACCACATAAACATAATCAAAAGCAAAACCAATTTGATCATCTCAATAGATATAGAAAAAGCTTTTGATAAAATCCAATATCTTTTCATGTTAAAAAGCACTCAACACACTAGGCCATTGTAGAAACATACCTCAAAATAATAAAAGCCATCTATGACAACCCCACAGCCAACATCATACTGAATGGGCAAAAACTCAAACCATTACCCTTGAGAATTGGAACAAGACAACGATGCCTTCCCTCACCAATCCTATTCAACATCATACTGGAAGTCCTAGCCAGGGCAATCAGGCAAGAAAAATAAAAGGCATCCAAAGAGGAAAAGGAAAAGCCAAACTATCTCTCTTCCCTGATGATATGATTGTATACCTAGATGATCCTAAAGACTTGGCCAAATAGCTCCTAGAATTAGTAAGTGACTTTAGCAAAGTTTCAAGATACAAAATCAATGTGCAAAAATCAATAGAATTCTACTTGCCAACAACGTCCAGGCTGAGAGTAAAATTAAGAAAACAATCCCACTTAAAATAGCCACAAAGAAAATGAAATAACTAGGGATACAGCTAACCAAAGAAGTGAAATACAGGACTATAAAATATTTCTGAAAGAAATTAGAGACAACACAAATAAATGGAAAAATATTGAAATAGTGGACTTTTTTTCTTTTTTTTAATGGAGACAAGTCTCACTCTGTCACCCAGGCTGGAGTGCAATGGCATGATCTCAGCTCACTGCAACCTCCACCTCTTGGGTTCAAGTGATTCTTGTGCCTCAGCCTCCCAAGTAGCTGGGATTACAGGTACCCGCCATCATGCCTGGCTCATTTTTGTATTTTTGTAGAGACGGGGTTTCATCCTATTGGCCAGGCTGATCTTGAACTCCTGACCTCGGGTGATCCGCCCACCTCGGCCTCCCAAAGTGCTGGGATTACAGGTGTGAGTCACCACACTGGGCCTCGCCTTTTTAAAACTTGTTAACAGCCTGCCCTTCCAACATGCTGTACATATCATGATTGAAGGAACTATGACTAACATTTCACCACTTATCCCTAGCATTTACTTAGCAGTATATATATCTCTAGCTTATATACTGGTGCTTGTATAATATGCTTGTATAATGACCATACTGCTCAAATATATACATATTTATATATATATATATGTATATATCTTATATATATGTATATATATTCTCATATATATATATATATATATATATCCCTAGCATATATATAGTTACTTAGCAGTATATATATCCCTAGCATATATACTGGTGCTTGGCACACAGTATATATGAATAAAATGTGAATTGAAACAGAAGGAAAGAAGGGATAAAGAAAGAATAAAGTGTGGATAATGGAGGATATTGATAATGAAAGTAACAACCACTGACACTACTCTAGGTTTTGGCAAAATACAATCTTGCTGTCTCAATTCAAAACAATGCAATAATCATATTTCCAAGGTTTCTGGATCAGTATGATTTAAAAATTTGTCTCCAATTTTTTCCCATAAATGAATTCCTTCCTGACAGATATGGTATCTCAATTAATGTTCTAAGATTTTTATCCATCAACATCATAATTGAAAAACAAGAATTTTATTAATTTTACTTACACTGTCTTACCTTAAATGTGATAAAGTCTTACCTTTGAGAAGAGCTTTAGTCCATTTTCTCACCTAAAACAAGAGACCTTTTGAGAATATTTAAGAATTGTAGCTTCTGTATAAACTCCTATACTCCCAGGAACTTAGTAACCTAAAGTTAGTAACCTAAAGTTAATTACCAATCCCTTCAGCACAATAGTAATTATACTTTATAAACATGCCAGTTTGCTAATGTCTTTGGAATAAAATAATAACTGAGGTATGGAAATTATATATCAGTCTTATTCCAACTTTACATTTACTTATTAGTAAATGGAGAAAAATGCAACTCAAAGACCATTCTCTGTGTCTTTGTGATGATGAAGCATGGCATTAGTCTTCCCTAGACTATCTAGGTCAACTTGAAAACCTACCGCATCCTCCTGCAAGTCTGACTGTGCATGTGCTCCTATTAGGTACTCCCTTGGCTGTCTTGGAATCCTTCTTATAGACTACTGGAAGAGGTCCATAGCATTTTGAGTCACAGCAGTGTCTCAGAAGAGGAAAAGTAGGTCCTCACATCTGCTTTCAAGTTGCCTTCAAACACGATCACACAAAATAAACTCAACTATGAATACAACTTTTAAGTAAAGCTATGCATTTGTGCAAGGTGAACTGTCTATGCTATGGTGAACATTTAGGAAAAATATAAAAGATTACTTAAAAATGCTTGTGCTTATTTAATATAAGGAAAGTAAGGCCAAAATAAAAGTTTGCTTAAAATCTCAGAGTCTATGGTATGATGACTTTCCATTTGGATTCTTGAAGGCTAAGATTTTGGAAATAACAGTATGAAAATGTTTGGCCTACTGCTACATTTAATAATTGTTCTTGAGCATAAAGTCTTATTCATTTTATGTGAACGCTTTTATATTTCCTAGAAACATTTTAGGACATTTCTTTGTCTGCTGCATCAAGTGATATCCTCTAAAACATTTACAGTTCTGAAGGAGACAATCTATCTGCAGTAAAGAAAGATGTGATTAAGTAGAAAGCCATCTTTTTCAAATGTATTTTCTATTAGAAAAATGTACCCACTTGTTATACAATCTTTTGCTTAGATGACTAGATTGATTTCCCTATTTTCTTTCTAAGGACTTCTAGCTTATAAACTTACAGGAATCTGATTATCTTTAAAAAGCAGTTATAATGCCAGGATTGTTCAATTCAATTTAAAATTTTAAAGTTATTAATCCTTCTTTCTTAAAAATAATTATCAGCAAGAATTAATTTATATTATTAGTGCTAAATAAAACACAATGAATAACTTTTTGTACCTACAAATACAGATACTCAAATCAATGCATCTTTTCTCTCATCTCCAAATTTTTCACATCTCTATAGCATGGCTTTATTCTAAACAGAGGGAACAATTTTATTGTTTGAACTGGTAATGTCATTCCTCTTAGACCTGCCTTTGTTCATTATTTCTATTCCGGTCTTCTTTTTTAGAACTTTGCATTTAGGATTCAACAGAGCTTTCAAAAAGAGAAAAGTGTGTGTCTGAACAGTGGGCCCCTTCTTTAACCCTGGTTGATGGGGTACAGGAATATTTACTCCTAGTAAATGTGTTTCTTATTGCATTTGGCAAGACTCCACAATTCAAATGCCAGTTACTCCCCATGAGCCTTGGATTTGTCAGCTAATTTCAACTAAAAATGATTCCTGCAATGGGTTTCTTCCAATGATTATGCTTAAAAACCAGTTGTCAGAGGGTGTTAAAACAAATTTTTTCCAAAGATTTCTCAGTTGCCTGAAAGCCCGTTTGCACTTCACTGTCACTGAAAAGCCATGATACTCCACTGAGGTGCTCATCAGCAGTCTGTCTCCTGTCTTCCACGGCAGCTGATCTGTGTACTGAAGTGACAACGCTGTGCGGCAATCCCAGCCTTTCTAAGAACCCATCTTGCTTGATTTCTTTTTATTTTTCAAGATAAGGCCCTAGGGAGGGAACTATTGGCAGAACTCTTTATTACCATCATTATTATGACCATTGTCAAACTCTGAGAATTAAGCTGTGTATGTTTTCCTGAGTTTCCTCCCCCTAACCAAAAAGAAAACAAGCCAAAAACAAAAGCAAAAAAAGCAATGGCTTGGCATCCACATCAGCACTTTTAATATAGCTCAAATTAGTTTAGCTATAGCTCAAAAAAAATACTTCATTGTTTCAGGTTGTTAACCACAATGTCTTATAAAATGAAGCATGTTTACTGTCATCTTGCAAAAGTCATTTCTTCCTTTATGAATTTGGCAACGAAGAATTTGAAAGATACCAGTGTGGGTTTGTTATCATGCACCAGCCGAAGCTGTCAGGCCTCATTACCTCCAAGACAAAAATTACAGACTAATGTATTAAATGCTTGAATAGCAACACGCCATGCACCATCTTCATTCTGTGGTAATGGGATGACACCAGCAGCCTGTAAGCTGAACTACAGCCGTCTCCCCTCCCCCTTCGCATTGCGGTGCACAGAAGGAGAGAGATGATAAACATCCAAGTAAAATCGAATTGCTGGATTTATTGCCAGCAGGACCCAGAAGCGCTTCTGTTTCTGTGAATGCAGTGCATTCATTTTAACAAACCCCATTTCAAGGGGTCTGTCACAAAGCAAACACACTTCTTATCTGGCTGAATATTTAACGTAGCAGCTCCAGGTCCCAATTTATCTCCTTTAAAATGGGAACTAGAAGTCAGTTTGAGGGGCTTGTTCAGATTATTTTTAATAAATTACTTTCAATGATTACATTATGATGTCATCCTGGCTGAAGTGGATTGATTTTTAAAAATATTTCTAATACTCCAGTCACTTTTAAAAAAATTCAACTTTGTTTTTCTATGAGGTTTATACTTTCAGACGTTATAGATAAGTCTTTGAACACATTTTACATCCCCAGAATGGAATGATGAGGTCACACTTTAAAACCTACCACACCGACAGTGATGGTGAATTTTCCCTTTTCCTGATTATCAGCCTATCATGCACATCTGGCAAACAAAGAATCCCAAATTATTTTTTCTTGGTTGAATTTAAGCTGCAAACTCCAGCCTTATTGTCCTAATTTGTTAATGTTTATGGTAAAAGGAGGCAATGGAGCTTAAATGTACAGGAGATGATGAATAGGATGGTCTGTCTGTGGTGCACAGGGACTATGAACTTCACCCTGATCTGGAAAATGACTCATTTCCTGGTCTTCACCAGGCAGATGCCTTAGCATGGCTCTCAACTTGAAAATTTCTAAAACTGAAAAGCTATGGAAAACTGATGGGAAAATAGATCATTTGGGAGGGAATAAAAATAAAATAGGAAGAGCATGAGCTCTGGAGCAAGACTGACCCAGGTGTGACTCTGGCTCAATTAATTACCCACTGGGTAGCCTAACCTCAGTTTTCTTTTCTATAAAATGGGGGGAAATAATGCCTACTTCATAGGGCTTTTTGGAAGATTAAGAGATATAATGCATGCAGTTTACCTACAGCATGGCACATTGGAAAAATTCAATGAGTGTTAGCTATTATTATTATGTGATTTTGAATAATTGTTTTAATTCATCTATTAAATATTTTGCTTGCCAAAATATTGAACTTTCTAATAATAGAATAAAAATCTGGGCTATTATACCTACTTATAGCAGTTAAGTTTTTAGTTTAAGATTATCTTTCTGTCTCTGCCTCTGTCTCCCTCTGTCTCTCTTTTTCTCCCTCTCTCTGTACTGATTAATTATACTAAATGTCTGTTCAGCTGTGAACAGCTTCCAAGTAATGAGGCTTTGTATACGCAACACTGAGTTCTTATGGATATATGTTTCACCTTTTCTCAAGTACCCTTCTCCCTACTTCTATGACTGTACCATGGCTGGTTATGAATCAACCAAAATGAAAATAAATACTTTAATGTCCATTCATGTTTTAGTTCAATATTTAGAGCTTAGTTTAACCTAACAGTTTTTTTAATTGAGCATTTATGATAATCCACTATATGTTAGGTGCTAGAATAGATCATCAGAACACTGTCTTTTCCTTCCAAGAGGGTGCATTCCAAAAGGGTGAAATAAAATGATAACCAAATGATTAAAATATAAAATGAAATGGCACAAGAGCCGTGTGAAAAAAAAAGTCTTAAGGAAATTTTATGTATTATGGGGATCAGAAACAGCTTCTATGAGATGGCATTTGGCATGAGCCTTGATGTTGGTGTAGCGTCCCTTTAAGTTGAAAAAAATGGGGTCGGTTAGGGGAAGAATGGGTACAAAAGAGAGGGGAACAATTTAAGCAGAGCAACATTTGTGTATATGGAGTAGGAGATATAAATCATATTGTAGAGGATCTTGAATTCTTAGGTAAGATTTTGTCGTTAAATTACAAGCAATGGGCAAACATTGAAAATGTTTGAACAAGGAAATAATATGACTTTGAAAAATCTGCCTTAAAAAGATGAATCTAGCAGCAATGTGAAGGCAATAGGGTAATGGATAAAGAGATATTGGGACATCAGTAGAATCCTATTTCAGAAAATAATTAATAAGGGCCTGAACCATAAGTCTCTAGGTGGTACTACACAGTTATTCTGGTAAAATACCTGTTACAGAACTTTGTTCAATTAGGTACTTAACAATTGTGAAGGGGATGGATGGTTTCATATGAAATCACTAGGTAATCTCTTCTTTTTCTGCATGCCACCTCATTATCATATTCTATTTCCCACATATGAGTAGAAAAGACTAAGATGGCAACTCTCTCTTACCTGATCCTTTCAGTGCAGCATTAGAAACAGGGCATAGTATCCTCTTTTTTTGCACTGTAGAGAAAATGGTGATCAGTGTAACTGATCCCATTCCTGGAGTGCTCTTTTCTGAGAAGCTGTTAAAGGCCATGTAAGGCACCAAGCAGGCTTGGAATATGTCTCCTTTTCTTCATTCTTGAAAAATAAGTAATTTTTTCTCCAATACACTCAATGTGGTCTTTTAATAATCCTTCAATAGCCCTCTGAAGAAAAACTTTGTGCAAGAATTATCATCCTGTCCTTACAGACAGGGTAAACTGAGACAGGGAGATTGAGGGCCTTGCCTGGGGTCCTGTAGCAAGTCAATTTACAGGTAGAAATAGTCATCTTTACTGCAACTCCAACCCCTTGGTGTAATGTTACAACATTGTGCATATGCTTCTTGTGAGTTGTGTGAATGGCACTAAGTTTTAAAGTGATACCAACATTTTAGGTGCTGATAAAGATACTTCAACATTATAAATGTCACAGAAGAAAACTAAGTTCTCTAAGAGTTAGATCATTGGATTATACTCCCATCTCTCCCTCTTCCTCATATGTATAACTTATTTATAAGTTTCTAATGTAATTTATACTTAGCCTTTAAGGTTTTACTTTATCAAGTTCTCCCAAAAGCTGAAGTTTATGCAGTGTAAGATTCTGCCCAGTATGATAGCATGCTTTGCAGAATCATGTAATACATATTTCTTATCTTATGGATCTCACAATTATGTTGTAATAATAATATACACAAAAAGGCTGAAACTCTAGATAGGATATTTAGAGAATTCTGTACTTATATTTGTTAGAAATGTTTTAGTCTACAAATAACAGAAAACCAAACTGCCAGGGACTTAAATGATAAAGATAATTATTGCTCATTTATGAAGAAGTCTGGGCAGGGCACGGTGGCTCACGCCTGTAATCCCAGCACTTTGAGAGGCTGAGGCAGGCGGATCACGATGTCAAGAGATCGAAACCATCCTGGTCAAAATGGTGAAACCCAGCCTCTACTAAAAATACAAAAATTAGATGGGCATGGTGGTGCGCACCTGTGGTCCCGGATACTCGAGAGGCTGAGGCAGGAGAATCACTTGAACCCGGGAGGCAGTGGTTGCAGTGAGCCGAGATCACACCACTGCACTCCAGCCTAGGTGACAGAGCCACTCTACGTCAAAAAAAAAAAAAAAAAAAAAAAAGTCTGGAGGTAGGTGGTCTCTGGACTGATTTAGCAACATAATGATGTCATCAAATACCCTTCTGTTCTCCAACTTTTTCAATAATGACCCTTTTCTGTACCTCATGGCAATGAGAGCTACTGAATATCAGGCATCACATCTTTGTTAAAGAAGAGAAGAAGTGAGAAGTTGCAGTACCAGCAAGCAACTATCAGCTGCCTATCTTTTATCTGGAAACAAGAATCTTTACCAGAAGCTTTCTAGAAGAATTTTATTTATAACTAATTGACCAGAACTAGATTAGAAAGCCACACCTAGCTGCAAGACAAGCTAGAAGGAAAGATATTATTGTTCCTTTACTGGCTGAAGAAGAAAGGGAGATGGGGATAGAAACCAAGTATCAGCAACAATTCTTTCATCAATGAATGGCAATTTTTGAAGCATGTATACATTTCTTCATTTAATTTATTTTGTAAAGCTACCCTTTGGGCAAGACAAAATAATTGGAAAGAAATCATAGAAATGAAGGAGATAAGGGTAAGAAATGGAGGAGAAGTGTTGGAGGAAAATCATGTAAAAAGAGAGAGAAAGAGAACTTTGGTGTGATTGAACAAGCTAAAAGGTGTCTTTTATATGAAAAATCTCTACACATTTTTGAAATACACTGTGAAAATCACCCAGAAAAATGGGTCATGGGACTCAGCTTATCTGAGCTTACATTTTGAGTTCTTAATTTTTTACCTCTTTAATGATAATGTCATGACCAGGATTATTTTCCAAAGAGAGTTTTACATGGCATCACTTACACCGTTTCAGCAAAATAACCTTCAAATTTCCAATCATTCCATAAGCAGTGGAAATGAATATAGGAAAGCTCACTTGCTTTCCTTACTTATTTCCAGCACCTGCTTCAAGTGTACCTATGAGAGTCTTGATACCTATGCATGATTGAAACTACAGCAGATAATTGAGTTTTCTGCCTACAGAACCTGGGAGTCAGAAATTGTCCTCTGGGCGGCCCTAGCTCAAGGAATGACCAACCCATCAGGATTCAACAAAACTCCAACTGACAAATATGCAAAGCATAGTACCAGAGGGCATTTGAAATGTCACCTCAGAGCTGTTAATGTAACAATTTGCAATTGCTACTGCCACTCCGCTTCCTGTGTTTTAATAAAATATTTTATCTTCCAGCCATGCCCTGAGGCAAGTCAATCAAGAGTGGCACCAGGTTTAAATTTAATAAATAAAATAACGTTGTTCATTGTGATATCTTTACGCCAGGCTTTTTCTCCTCATACTCCTAAGCTCCAATATATGCCAAATATTCTCACTGATAAAGACAGAAGCTGGGCTGAGCTGCTGTTCCTCTCTACTGTTCATATTTATTCTCCTGATAATAACACAGTGGTAACAAACCTTTACTGAGCAAATGTAATGTGGCAGACCCTGTGCTAAGCCTTTATATGTCTCTCTTAATTTAGTCCTCACGATAATTCTTTGAAAGAGGCAACATTAGTTCATTTTATAAGTAAGGAAACTGAGAGTCAGAGATATTAAGAAACTTGTCTAGGATAACATACTTTGTCATTGGTCACAAAGCCAGCTTTGGACTAGTTATACAATCAGCCCATTTCTGCCAAAGCCACTCCAGTTCGTACTAATGCTCTATAAGAGACCATTTTCTTCATATGCTAGCATTCTAGGGATATTATAAACCTCTCAATCCAGTAAATTACAGTATTTGTAATATTAGGGTATGTTTCAAATAGTATAGGGCTTGCCATACAGCAGATTCTCAATAAATGGTTATTGAATTAAAATGCACACTTTATTTGCTTGTACAACTTCCTCTGTTTTTTAAGGAGCATTGCTTTATTAAAATAAAAATAAATGCAATGAAATTTTTTTTAAAAAAAGCAGGGGGTGGGGGTTCAAGTTGCTGCCACTAGGAAGCCTTAACATACCATCTGCCACGTGGAGTATTCTCTAACAAGGCAGACCCAGTGCTTACAAACAACCAAATGAAGTCAAACAGTTCACAGCTTAATTGCCTTCTAAGTTTTTATAGCACCAAGAAAAGTCTTGACCCTACCCAGCAAGCTGGCAGAAAAATATGTCTTCTTAAAGCCTTCTGACCTTGAAACACTCATCTCAAGAAACTTCCTCCACCACAGGCAGATATGTTTATCCATCATCCTATGTGTGAAAGAAAATTAGTCTATTGAGATGAGCTTCACTAAAAGAATACTAGATTTAAACAAAAATATTTGGACGCATCTGTAGCATGTGTCTTATTTCCAAAGGAATCTCATGAGAAAAAACTATAGAAAATGCCACAGTGATGGTATTTCCAGGGTCTAACTCCCTGACTACGCGCCTAAGGGATATCTGGCTTCTAAAAAACATCTGAGTGCCAAACAGTGATTAACAAACATTCATTTACCAAACAGTATAAAAGTTCACAACAAATATTGACTCTGCTTTATTTAAATAATATTAACCTATTAAGAGGTATCCATTCTTTATTTTTATAAGATTTGATATCTTTTATTCTTCACCTTTAAAAAATTATTTTTAACACTGCTATGCCCCTGAATATCACTATACACATACACGTGTATGCATACAACACACACACACACACCACTCACACACACACACACACCACTCACACACAAAGGAATCTGTGGTAGTTAAAATGGCAATATTTTGGATGTCTTAGTTACAATTTCTGGTGGCATAATCTCTTGTCAGCCACTAATTACCTGATTGGACTCCATTTCCTCTTGTATAAAATTGAGATTGTAATGATAACATCTACAATCAATTCTCATCATTCATGATAGGTATGTTCTATAAAGCCACTAAAAACACTGAATTAGAAAATACTGAACCACTGCCCTTAAGGGGAAATATAGAGTTAGGTTCCTCTGAACCACAGGTGACAACATTTTTATCTTTTTTTTTTTTTTTTTTTTTTTTTGAGTACAGTGGTATGATTATGGCTCACTGCAGCCTTGACCTCCCAGGCTCTAACAATCCTCCCACCCCAGCCACCAGAGTAGCTGGGACTAGGGGTGTGTACCACCATGCTCAGCTATTTTGTTTGTTTGTTTGTAGAGACAGGTTTTTTCCATGTTGCCCAGGCTGGTCTCAAACTCCTGGACTCAAGTGATCCACCCACCTCGACCTCCCAAAGTGCTGGGATTACAGATGTGAGCCAACAACATGCCTGGCTGCAACATTTTTATGCAATAAATATATACTCGTTTTCATATGTGTTTCTGTTTTTTTTTTTTTTTTATACTCTAAGTTTTAGGGTACATGTGCACATTGTGCAGGTTAGTTACATATGTATACATGTGCCATGCTGGTACGCTGCACCCACTAATGTGTCATCTAGCATTAGGTATATCTCCCA
The DNA here is from genome assembly GCF_000001405.40 of Homo sapiens. NCBI lineage: Eukaryota > Metazoa > Chordata > Mammalia > Primates > Hominidae > Homo > Homo sapiens. The sequence goes on along the minus strand of NC_000003.12, from coordinate 161,907,971 downwards.
ATGCTATCCCTCCCCCCTCCCCCGACCCCACCACAGTCCCCAGAGTGTGATATTCCCCTTCCTGTGTCCATGTGATCTCATTGTTCAATTCCCACCTATGAGTGAGAATATGCGGTGTTTGGTTTTTTGTTCTTGCGATAGTTTACTGAGAATGATGGTTTCCAATTTCATCCACGTCCCTACAAAGGATATGAACTCATCATTTTTTATGGCTGCATAGTATTCCATGGTGTATATGTGCCACATTTTCTTAATCCAGTCTATCATTGTTGGACATTTGGGTTGGTTCCAAGTCTTTGCTATTGTGAATAGTGCCGCAATAAACATACGTGTGCATGTGTCTTTATAGCAGCATGATTTATAGTCCTTTGGGTATATACCCAGTAATGGGATGGCTGGGTCAAATGGTATTTCTAGTTCTAGATCCCTGAGGAATCGCCACACTGACTTCCACAATGGTTGAACTAGTTTACAGTCCCACCAACAGTGTAAAAGTGTTCCTATTTCTCCGCATCCTCTCCAGGTTAAAGACACTTTATTTAATATACGTTTGTGATTCATATTAAACTTAGGGCCAAGAGCACTCTTAACTCGTGCCTAAACAAAGCTTACTTAACCCATGGTTTTTTCTCAGTAAGGCACATCACAGCCTTTTTGTATGTAGGAACACCAGACAGCACTTTGGCATTATGCTAAGGGACCATTTTAGACAGTGGAATTATCAACAAAAAGCACAAATATGCAAAAAAAGCAGCACTAAACAGATCATGAAAAAGATACTTGCTGAAACAAAAAGGCAGTGCATAACCTTGTTCTATCTCAACTGTGAATATGTGTATTGGGAGAATCAAATTTTCACTTCTCCGTGCGTGTTTGAGAATGATCTTAAAAGCTTGCCTAGGGTATTGATGTGGGGGTTGCAAATAAATTTTAGCAAATAGGCAAGTTTGCAAATATAGAATCCATGAATAATGAAGATCAACTGCACTTGTGAATATTAAAGATAAAATTCTAATATCCTTAGATAAAATTCTTTATATTAAGCAGAGGTCCCAGAATTTATTTTTCATTAACATGTCAAGGGTATGTAGACCTCCTACTCTAACTTTTGCAAGATCCTAGGCCTTAGAGGATGAAGAGATGGCAGTGTTCCAGTGTTCCAACAAAGTAAGATGAAGATGCTGATTTGTGAGGGTCCAAAGAACCAAGGCAAGAAAGGAAAGGCTACTCTTAAATTGTTTGTGTAATGTAGTTTATAAATGATTTTTACTCATTCGTTTGTTTAGCAAACAATTTAATATCGTAGGAATTTCGCCAGTTAGTGGACACCCAAAGCAGAATGCAATATAGTCGCTCCTATCCAAGAGCTTTTCAGCTTCTTAAGGAATGCACATAGCCTAGATTTTTGTAGCTCTGTCTGCTCATGCAGGAAATGGCAACACAGACTTGTGTTTGCTCTCCTGTGTATTTTCTCAAACTAGTCTGGTCTCCTGAATTGATGACAGTGGGAAAGTGGGATGAAGATTAAGCAAAACAATACATATTTCCCATTCCCTTAGGGTTGGTATGAGGCTGAAATGCATAAGAGAGCAAGACGGAAATTGTCAAAAGAATATATTCATGTTTCTGTTGTTGTTATTGATGATGGCAACAAAGTTATGTCATTATCATAAGTCACTGGCTTCATAAGGTAGCTGTTTGTTTTCACTGAAGTAACAACCATTTTGAAGAAGCATCTCAGGTTGTTTTCTAGAAGGCTGTTTTTATTTTTGTTTTTGAGACGATCTCACTCTGTCAACCCAGGCCGGAGGGCAGTGGCATGATCTCAGCTCATTGCAACCTCTGCCTCCCAGGTTCAAGCGATTCTTGTGCCTTAGCCCCCCAAGTAGCTGGGATTACAGGCATGCACCACCACACCAGTTAATTTTCGTTTCTTTTTTTTTTTTTTTTTTTGTAGAGACAGGGTTTCACCATGTAGAAGTCTGTTTTTAAAGACTTGCCGGAAACTGCTGGTATGTGCTCTCCTCTATCGTTTAAGGATTTCAGACCATCAATACAACTATGTAATGCAGCATTTATCATGTCTCTGCTACCAGAAAGTAAGTTGAAATTCAATGGTACAAATAATTTATATTCCTGGAATTGATTTTTTTAATGTATAAAATAAGGAAATAGCAACACAAGTTCATTTGTAGATGATCTGAGTCTGAACCTACACCATTAAAAGTGACTCACCTCTTCTCAAACTCTCATTGTCAATGGTGGTAGCATCATCAATCATTCCAGTCAGTATGAGACAGAAAGAGTTTTAAATAATGTCTTAAAGTCAGTTTTTCATCATCCTTTTCTTAACCCTAACTATCCAATTCTCAAGAGTTAGATATTGTGCATATTTTTATCCTCATTTGTACTTCATTTTAATAGGTTCTAAGATGTTCATTGCAATCTATCATTATTTTTTTCTTTATCACATAAAAGGTGAATTGGTAAGAAAGGAAGTAATTGTCCTATTTCTTCTCATGTTAAGAGTATACTAGAGTATTTGTAGGTTCTTGGCACAAGCAAGGGAATAACATTTACCACATTTGTAAATATCAAAATTTAGAGTGGAAGAGTTCAATATCAGGAAGCACTTGACTATAAGTTTTTGATAGCATTACCATTAGCACAACTCTACATATTTCTGGCTAATTTACTAATACTTCATCAATAATCATTTTTTAAGATCAACAGTTGCTTCAACAATCTACCAAAACTAGCTAAATTATATTTGAGTGAAATAATAGTGCCCAAGAGAGTTTTTACCTTTCTTTATATCTCTTCCACACATTCCACTGGCTGTTTCTTATTATTATTAAGGTGTCAGTCTTGATTGCTCCTGAATATGAAGTGAAGGAGAGGTCACAAAAGAGAGTGCCTACTTAAGGAAATGTGATTCAGAAATACAGCCATGAGCCAGAGCTGTAAATGAAAATCTGAGTATAGTCCTACATGTCAAAAAATATAGCCATCAATTTTCCTCAATTTTCAGAAAACCAGTGGGAGTTAGGGAAATGTGAGGATGGTAAATTAGTACCTAGAATGCTATTACAGAAAAATATGAGGGTGAAAAAATTTTAAAAATAAAGATCAGCATCCTGGCAGTTTATGATAAACACCAAATTGTTGCATAAATCTCATAAAACTCATTTCAGAGTTCTTACCTTAACAGTTTTATCTTGAAATATTATTGGAGTATTTCTCCAAACCCTGAAGTTGCTTCTTTATTTACTCAAGAGTAAAGTTGAGTATTTACTTTTAAAATTGACTTCCAGGCAATTGTTTTTAGAAATCTAACTGTGGGATAATATTTGCACAAGAAAAAGGTTGACTGGCTTTTTACAGGTTGTCTGCATGGAAATATAAGGTAATGTGTCTGTCCTGTGGATGGTGAGACCTGAGAAATGGTCACACACAATTATCAGCTGCACCTGTCTAATCCTGAGTCGTGCTCCAAGGATGTCAAGGCCAGTCACTCAGACTCAGTCATTCGGTCTTTAAGCACTTTTGAAAAGTCTGCTGTTTTCTAGGTACTGTGCTGAAAAAAAAAAGGGCTCGTATTTGGAAATCACTGGATCACATTGTCAAAGTTAAATGGATACAAGGTGGGGTTCTGTTCTATGTTTAATAATTAATTCTGCCACATGTTACCTCACCTTTTAATGAAGGTATGCAAAGTCACGTTTCTGAGTTCCCACTGTGTTGGGCACCATACCGGAAATTTTTACAACTGATCTCATTTAATCCTCATATTAACCCTGAAAGAAAGATCATCCCATTTTTGCAGATGAGGAAGTTGAGGTTCAAAGGGGACACAGAAATTTAACAAATAACACACAATTTGAAAACGATAAAGCTAAAAATGAAATCCAGTTAAATCTGAACTCCAAACTATACCACTCTGCTTTGGTCTTTGCAGTTATGAAGACTTTTCTATCTTTAGCAATCTATTATACTAAAACAAACACCCTTGAGGGGATTGCACCTCATGTTTCTTTCAGGGAGATGATTCCTTCATTTTCACTCAGTGCTTCAGGAAGACTCCCTTGTCTCCTCTATGCTAGAATAAAACCCCAGAATGGCATTGTAGCAGGAGAAGAGATCAAGAGCCTAGCATAAAGAAAAGAGGGAGGCAAAATGTAGGCTTCTCTTATTTTCAGTTTTATCCAGTGCCAGCCTGGGCTATATAATCCTTCTTCTCTGATATTTTGTTATAGTGGATTTACTAGAAACAGACACATTCATGAGCTACATAAACCTACAAAATCCCTAGGAAAAAAAAAGGTGGAGGGGGGTTTCCCCTTTTGGGATGCTGGTATACACAACTCCCAAAGTCCCTGGAAAATAATAGGTGATGTTATTTCTCACATGCTTATATCTTTTATTTCATTGCTTACAATTAACTTTGAGTATACACTCCTCAATGTATTCCCCAAGTGTTTTCCTTCTGCATAAAACGTGAAATGGTCAAGGGTGGAGGATTACACAGTTCACTGCAGCCTCCAGAAGTCATTGATTTCTGCATTTATTTCTTCTAGATTTCAATTTTTATTTCTTCTAGTTTTTCATGCTGGTTGTCATATGGGGTTGACAGGTGTCACAAGATGCAGCTACATACTGAAATGATGCATAACCATTATGTAAAATTTTTAAATAATACATTTTAAATTCTTCTCTACTCAGATAATTGCCAAAAATCAACTTTGATGAGAGTAATATAAATAAGATGAAGTTATTTCTCAATCAGAACCAGAAATGCTAATAAACAACACAAATCAAAGAGAGAGAGCTTCCAACTGTATTTTTGCTGAATTTAAATGCATAGAGTTAACAATGTTTATGAACATTGTTTCACTGATAACTTTTCAACTCTCTTGTTGATATTTCAGAGTCTTGGATTGTAGCCTCTAGGACTGCCCTCGAATTGTAGCACTGATTTTCGCTATCTGGAGATCCCTTCATTAATGAAGGAACAATTTTTCTCATCTTTTAAACCTTGCTTCTTCTCTCGAAATTATCACTGGCTAAAGGAAATGAGGACTAGAAGAAGAAAATCTAACAGTACAACATTTATTTCAGTATTCCTGTAATGAGGTGAATACACACACACACACACGCACACACTCCATTTATAGTTGGAGCAATATTACTGAGTAATGCCAATAGAATGACATTAGTATAACGTATAAGTGGCAGGGCTTGCCATAGGAAGGTGACCCATGGTCTATGTGGGAAATCTAGATAGATTACGGGTCAAGAGGACTAAATTACCACCTACCATCTCTGCTTTACTGTGAAAATGTATAAAATAAAAATAAATACTCATCATGCTACATTCTCTGTTTCGTTCCTAATACATACAGATGCAGATGTATACAGACAGACACACTCACCTCATGTCTAATATAGAAACATATGCATATATTGTGCAGAGTGGACACAGTGGAATAACACAAAGATGAGTTAAATGTTGATAAGATTTAACAAATTGCATTCCCTGTGGCAAAATATTGGATGCTGTTTTTCTGCATTGTTAGAGTGTTCCTACTTGACACTGGCTTTAAGTTGTTCAGAAAGATATATATGTTATTCATCCATTCCACATGGTTTACATGGCTCTGTATTTGGTGCTTTCTAATTTCTTTTGTCTCAATTCTTGCCACTTACTCTCATTATTTCTGCTATACAATTATAACCTATTAGGCTGAACTATATAAAACTGCCAATATTTAATGTTTTAGACCTATCAAATGTCAATTTCATATTTTATAACTTTAGTTAGCCAGGCTCCCCATGTTATCCCTCTCTCTAGACTCTGGTCTTTGCTGAAATTAGCCCCTCTTCACTTGCTTTGCCACACCCAGTCCCTTCCTACCTTTACTTGGCTAACTTTGACTCATCCTTTACATCACTGCTGCTTTGCCTGTTTCTCTAGCAAACTTTTCACAGGAAAAAAAAAAGGTTCTGCATGCTTTCTAAGCAGAAAAAAAAAGGTGGAGTCCAATCTTCCTTATTCTCACATCTAGCTATCTACAGCATTCACTGTTTGAAACAGTTCCATTGAATCCTTCTGTCTGCTTTGTTTACTGTTCTGTTTCTGACAATTGTCCCCACTATAGAAATATTGGTTGGGGATTTATTTATTCTTCATAGTAATTAAAGCTTATTTCTATGGCATTCACCTTCCTCGGCCAGATAAGCAATAACATCGACCTGCTGCAAATGTGTTATTCTCTAAATTGGATAAATGCCTCAATCACTACACTTTCTGGTAAAAACTAGGGACAATAGCTTTTATTACAGTCTTAAGGAAAGCTATATTTTTCACCCTTTAGTAGCCCAGTACAATTCCAGGTACTGCCAGTCTTTAATCGGATTCTTATTGATATGGATTGAGTATCTGTTCTGACATTAGGATACTTCAGAAAAAGAGCCACACAAGATGCTATTATAGATCAAAAATATTACTCCTACTGAAGCCTGAGCTTGAATCTTTTTGAAGTGGATAAAACTTTCCTAACTCAGCAAAAAATCTATAGCTGATTTTAAGGGAACATTTCTAATACACTTTCAGTAGGTCAACAATAATATAGGCACTTTTTATTTTTATTCTCTTTTAAGGAAGAGAGATGACCATAGGAGTATGAATATGGCAATCATTGAAGTAGAAAGCAAAAGACCTACAGGTTTTTCCTTTAGAAAAATATCCGTTGACACTATAATCTAATTATTACCAGATGAGAGCTATGTTATGAAGCAAAGAAGCAGGAAAATACTTAAATTTAGACAATAAAAGAATTTGAACTACAAACAATTAATTTGGGTTGTTTAAAGTGATTTCTGAAAAAAATTAAGGTCTAAGGCAAAATAGCCACTGAATTTAGTGATTATAAACAAAATGTAGTACCCAGAAGAAAAAAAGTGAAATAAAGTCAAACCATCGGGGCAATAACATTTGGCCAGACTAGAGAGTTTAGGCTTTTGTTTGCTGTTGTTGTTTGGTTTCGTTGCTCTTGTGTTTTTTGTTTGTTTGTTTGTTTGTTTTTGAGACAAACAAAGAAAGAGTTTCGCTCTTGTTGCCCAGGCTGGAGTGCAATGGCATGATCTCAGCTCATTGCAGCCTCTGCCTCCTGGGTTCAAGTGATTCTCTTGCCTTAGCCCTCCAAGTAGCTGGGATTACAGGCATGCACCACCATGCCCGACTAATTTTTTATATTTTTAGTAGAGACGGGGTTTCTCCATGTTGGTCAGGCTGGTCTCAAACTCCCAACCTCAGGTGATCCCCCACCTTGGCCTCCCAAATTATTGGGATTACAGGCATGAACCACCACACCCAGCCTGCTTTTGTTTATAATGACTTTATGATCAATTAGCCACAGAGATGCAGCACGGTGGACAAACGCTAGTGAGATTTAGGCTCAAAGTAGTTTTTCCAGGTTTCTACTTTCTAAAGTTTTGTGCCAATTTTCTGTTTGTCCAGCCCCAACTCCTCCCCTATGCACACTCAAAGAGTTTAAAATTTAAGAGACTTTCATGTGGTAGTGAATAAAAACAATAATGATCAAAATAAGTAGGCTGTCCAAAAGAGATAATTAAAAAGGATTATTGCACTATAATATAACGAAAGGAAGCAACAGAAAAAGAAAAATAAATAGGAGACTTTGGTATAATGTTTTAACGAAAAACAAGATTGATTGTTTTTCCCCCCTCTGTGGAACTAAAGTTTTTGAGATAAAGTTAATTCTGACACAGAAAATTCCAGACTAAGAAAGAGATTTCTTAACACAGGAGCCAACTATTTTTTGTCAGGGGGACTTTGAAATTATTGAGGTCAAATGGAGTCAATTCCGTTGCACCTTCAAAGTAGATTTGCATAGTTTTTCAATTTAAAGAAAGCACTTACCTTTAACACCAGTAGCTACCCATAATTTGGAGTGGGATTTTGCCCAAAGGGTGAAATAAGAAATTCTAAATTTTATACACTTTGAGGGTGAAATCCTACCTTTGTCATCTACATTATATTTTAGGTGTCTATACATATTTTATGTTTTCAAAAAAATAAAAATATGTAAGGTCACTATTTGGAGAAGAGAAAATCCCCTTGCCAACAGTGTCAAACTAAAACAAAATTCTGTATGTGAGATTATCCTGGCTGATGTACTAAATTGTTATACATTTAGAACTTATAATGTGAACTTCTTCTTGCTAAAATAGAATAAAAGGAACCTTATTTACCTTCACAACTGAAACAACTAAAAATAAAGATTAAATATTTAAAAGAATAATTTTTAGATATTAGACATCAGGTAGTACATAACTGTGATTCCTGAGAGAGAGAAAAAAATAAAGTGAGCCCTATAATTGCTTGTTATGGATTGATAACCCGTAATCAGAAGAAAAAAATTAGTTAATAGAAACACACCCAGAAATTACACAAATAACAAAGTGTGTAGACATTCATCTAGTTATTAAACAGCTATTATAACTATATTGCATATGTTCTAAGAGACAGAAGGAAGAATAAACATGTTAGGTAGAGATATACAGCCAAATCAAATTTCTAATAATAAAAACTACAATATTTGAAATAAAAAATTTATTGGTCGGTATTAGCAGCAGATTAGACACTACAGATAAGAAGATTAGTTAACCTAAAAACAAAGCAATAGAAAGTATTCAAAATAAAACATAGATAGAAAAAAAGAAATACAGAAAGTAAAACGAAAAGAACAACAGTGAGCTGTGAGGCAATTTCAGGCAGTCTACTAAACATGTAATTGGAGTGTCCAAGAGAGAAAGGTGAGAGACAAAAAAGTATTTGAAGAAATAATAGCCGAAATTTTTCCTTATTTTATGAAAGCTATAAACCCACTGATCCAAAAATGTCAACAAATCCCTAGTACTTGAAACAAGAGTACTATAAGCAAATTGCTTGAAATGTGACAGAGAAAAAATTAAAAGCTTATATTTTGTGCAGATGAACAAAGAATAATAGTATATTTCCCATTTGAAGCAACATATCCAAAACACAGTGGAACAGAACATATAAAATACTGAAAGAAAAATCTATCATCTTAGAATTCTACTCAAGGTCAAATTATTTTTCAAAAATGAAGGAGAAATAATTGCCATTTCAGACATAAAATTGTAGAAAGAATTCATCACCAACAGATTTGCACTACAACTAATGTTAAAGAAAATTATTTAAAAGAAAATGATATCAAATTGAAATATGGATGTATGCAAAAGAATGAAGAACACTGGAAATGGAGTATGCCCTTTGGATCAATAAAGGGAAGGTAAAATTGAGACGCCAATACAATAGTTTAATATTGAAGAAGTAGACAGGTTCCCATGTGCAACATTTGTAATGCAAATGGTCTAGAACTGCTTTTATGATTCTTGCACTCTCGTTCAGGTAAGATATAAGAAGTGATCAGAAACTTAAAAGATTTGCTAGAGAATTTTTGAAAGGAAATGTTTGCCACTTACATGTGCCCGCTACATCTTTTGGTGGAGAAGATGGAACACTTTCTGCTTCACTTCAAGCCTGGGATATGAAGAGTTTTGGGAACACTATAACCGCCCAAGGGGTTCACGTTGCCCACTGATTAGACAGAGCCAACTCATCAAGACAGGGAAAATGCAATAGAGAAAGAGTAATTCACGCAGAGCTGGCTGTGCGGGAGAACAGAGTTTTAGACCAGAATTTTATTATTACTCAAATCAGTCTCCCTGACCATTTGGGGAACAGAGTTTTTAAGGATAACTTGGTGGGTTGGGGGAAGCCAGTGAGCCAGGAGTGCTGACTGGTCAGAGATGAAATCACAGAGAGTCGAAGCTGTCTTCTTGCACTGAGTCAGCTCCTAGGTTGGGGGCCACAAGTTCAGATGGGCCAGTTTATTGATCTGGGTGGTGCCAGCTGATCCATCAAGTGCAGGGTCTGCAAAATATCTCAAGCACTGATCTTAGAAGCAGTTTAGGGAGGGTTAGAATCTTGTAGCTTCCAGCTGCATGACTCCTAAACCATAATTTCTAATCTTGTGGCTAATGTTAGTCCTACAAACACAATCTAGTCCCCAGGCAAGAAGGAGGTCTGCTTTGGGAAAGGGCTGTTATCATCTTTGTTTAAACTATAAACTATGAACTATAAACTAAGTTTCTCCCAAAGCTAGTTCAGCCTACGCCCAGAAGGGAACAAGGACAGCTTGGAGGTTAGAAGTAAGATGGAGTCGGTTAAGTTAGATCTCCTTCACTGTCTCAGTCATAACTTTGCAAAGGCAGTTTCAACACTTGGAGAGTTTATAGTTAGAGCATTAATCACATCTGAGAAAATTTATGTTGCCTGTAGCTGCAGAAAATAAGTAAATATATACTTTGTCTGATTCTTTCAAGTTTCTAAGAAGCAAGTTACATCTGGATGTTTTCTATGGTAAGCATTGCCTATAGAAAGTCTAAGTATGACTTGATCTTATCTATAGTCCAACAGAACAACCTAGAGGAATGGTGAGACCATGTAGTAAGTACATGGAAGTGAAAGCCAGATTCCAGAAAAAGGTGTTGCAATCAGCCAGCTAAAATAGAGGCATCTGACCAGGTCAAGAGAATTGCAGGAAAGCAGTGCAGCAATGGGAACTCACGAAATGTGCCCCAAGAATCGTCTTTTACCATTTGCTAAACTAAAGTGCACATAGCCAATAGTTGTCCTGTCTTCTCTCTCTTATCAACTTTCCCCATCTTAGATGCTGTCAAAGCACAAAACAATAGTTATCAAGTAGGGGAGGCATTGTGTGGGGAGAGAAAGCAAAAATCACCACACTTCTTTCTGAAAGACAGAAAACCACTGGCTGCAGCTTAACTTGGGAAAGGAAAGATGTATCTTTGAATAAAGATTGAGTTGAAGTCCCCAAAATATCAATAGACTTCCTGTTAAAACAGCAAACCTGAGTTTATTCAAGGGGAAAATCATACCTTGCATCATTTTAAAAATGTTATTTTGAAATCTATTGAGTTTTAAAAGAAAAAAGTATACATATACATTTATTTGTAGGTTTACAGACAAATTTCTGGAGGAACACACCTAGAAATTATGAGCGTGTAACTGCCCAATGGGTTCATCTTGCCCACTCCCTAGACAGAGCTGATTTTTCAAGACAGTTGAATTGCGATGAGGAAAGAGTAATTCACGCAGAGCCAGCTGTGTGGGAGACCTGAGTTTTATTATTACTCAAATCAATCTCCTCAAAAACTTGAGGATCAGAGTTTCTAAGGATAATTTGGTGGGTAGGGAGCCAATGAATCAGGAGTGCTGATTGGTTGGCTGGGGGATGAAATCATAGGGGGTCAAAGCTGTTCTCTTATGCTGAATCAGTTTCTGGGTGGGGGCCACAAAACTGGTTGGCAGGTCCAGGTGGGGCTATCTGGTTGTTAGAAATGCAAAAATTTGAAAAGACATTTCAAAAGGCTGATCTTAGGTTCACAATAGTGATGTTACCTTCAAGAGTAATTGGGGAAGTTGCAAGTCTTATAACCTCCAGAATAATGGCAGGTAATATCTAGAATTCCAGCTCCTCTTGACTTGATGCCTGGTGGCCTTCCATTTGTTTTCTAAGAACAGTTTAGCCTTTTGGGAAGGGCTATTATTTAAAATATGCACTAAATTTCTTACCAAAGCTAGTTTGGCCTATGCCCAGGAATGAACAAGGACAGTTTAGAGGTTAGAAGCAAGATGGGGTCAGGTAGGTCTAATATCTTTTACTGTATAATTTTCTCAGTTATGATTTTTGCAAAGGCGTTTTCATGTTCATTGTGGTGGGTATTGTTAATTGCTGTCTAATACCCATTCACTCCTTCCTAAAAGGACTCCTTGGTTTTCTTCAGGACAGCAATGTGCCTAGCCTAAAGTGAGGATCTTAAATGATCTACACCAGTCATGACAATCCTGTCTCCTGATTTCCTAGTCCCCCTAAGAACAAGCAGGGCAGGTAATTCATTTCTTTTTTTTTTTTTTTTTAAAGAAAGAAAGAAAGTCATTTAGAGATAGATTGCATGGCACTGACCTTACTCTTTCTCCTCTCTTCCTGCCATAAATGCAGATCGATGGCTAGAGCTGGAGTAAACATCTTGTAGCCACTTAGAAAGAGCAAAAGAATCACAGAGACTCTGATTCTGACATGGTGGAGCGAGCAAATCAAAGCCAGAGCCTTGACCTCTTGTTAGCTAAGATCTCTCCCAAATGTGTAACTACCAGCAGGAGCAGCATCACTTGATAGCTTATAGAAATGCAGAAGCTCAGGCCTGTCCCTAGACCTACTGAATCTGAATCAGCATATTGGTATGATCCCTAGGGAATTCATATACACATGAAAGTGTGAGACTCATTTGTCTACAAAAAGTATCCCCTTAGTTGATTAAGTTGTCATGTTTTATGTTAACTGGTTCTGAAATCATTCATACCCACATATGTATGTATCACATTCTCACTTAAAAAACCAATTACCTAAAAATTAGAAATACACATGTGATATAATAATAAAAATATTTACATAAACTTTTAAAAATGCTTACAGGCTATTTACTTACTTTTAGCATAGGTACAGAATAAACAATGAAATAAAATGTTAACAAAATTTCTAACAAATATTTTTTGAAATTAAAAATAATTTCTAATTTATCCCAAATGCCAAAGTTTTTTTCCTGTGGACCACCCTATATAGAAGCTATGACTTACTATTTAAAAGGCTCAATAATGAGATGATATAGATGTAGGTATAAATATCACTATAGAAATATATTAATCAACCTTTTTTTTAAGTTTTGTCAAATTATTCTTGTTTACTTGAGAGCTAAATTTTATCAAATGTAGGCTCTGCAATAACTGTATCCATGAAAGTAGACTGTGCATATACAGAATTTTTTTTTTGCTTGTGTAGACCCTAAATGCTAGCTAAAAGCCCAGACTGAAATCACCTGTACTTGATAAAAAAAAAACCTCCCACACTAGCATTTTTCATTTCTGCTCACTGCTCAATTGAACTGCTTATGTATCCTGGCTCTGTTGTAAAGAAATTTTGGGCTCACATCCCAGGATTGATTCCACTGCAACAGGATTGTCAGCTACAGAGGTCTGTACAATTTTCCTTCCTTTTACATTGATTTAACCAGAAGTATTTGAAGTCTTGGTCACCAAAAGTTTTGCACTAATAAAAATTTCACAGGATAACTAAAAGAAGCAGAAAGAGGTGGCTGAATTAATCAGTTTTTTGCCCATATTATAAACATATTTGTAGAATACAAAATGTATTTACTTGATAAACCAAAGAGCTATACAGTATATTCTATAAATATTTCTTGCTAAATGTCCATGCAAGGTTGAAGTGAAAAAAGACTCAGAGAAATCACTTATGCATGTAGTTTCCATTAAATAGGTCACAGCATCACTGCAGTTGAGATTATATAACCACATTTTCTATGCAGGGAAGAGGAAAAGGATATTAAAGTAGCTACACTTTTGTTTTCAGTCTAATACTGAAAATAAAGGAATGGCTAGCAGTCCATAAAAACCCACCAAACTGGTTGTACATTTTTTAAAAAATGTGTTTCTTAGTTCAATTCATGAGAACCTTCAATACCTACTTCTAGTGGCTATTCTTTAATAGGCAAAGTCTCCAAGCTATTTTTCATCTTGCAGTACTCTACATTTTTCAATTTTTTCACATCTACATCTGTATCTCCTGCTTGACTATGAGTCACATCTCTAAAACTTTGCCAGGCTCATAGTAAGCACTCAGGATTTTTTTTTTCATTTAGTTATCTGTTGGCCTTACTCCAGTTTTAGTGTTTATAGAAATCCAGATGCTCTGTTGTACTTGCAATATTCCATTTTATCCATGAATGTGCAAAAATTCTTTTGCTTGCTTCTGAGAGACTAGTTTCGCAGGAGGAAACCAGGACTGAAAGAATATATTTGCCCTGGAGCTAAGTAGGATTAAAACATATGACCTTGTATTCCTGTCTGCAAATAATTAGCTGAAATATTTTTGATAATTTCCTAATCTCTCTGGGCTTCTTGGCCTCAGAGTTTTGCTCCAGAGATGCCAATCTCCATCCAAGTTTCCCTCCATCTATAACATTCTGAGTTCTCTGCTTTTCCAATCTTCCTACTCTTCCCTCACCACTCCTCATTCCCACACAATGGGCTGAGAAAAAGTTTAGATGGGGTCAGGGTATGGGGTCATAACACTGAAAATCTAATTGTTCAGGCTTTTGTAACATGATTATTTTTAAAACTATAGATAAGGAATGGAAGCCCAAGTACAACTTTTAATGAGCAGACACTAAATTGAAATACCTTTAAGCGATGCTCCAATTCAGAAACAGTTTTCTCCACTAAGATTCATTACCACTGTCTGACACTATTACCCATTGAAATGTTTTATAAGCCCACGATACCAAAAGTTTCAAAAAGTGTCACACACCAGCAATTCCTATTACTGAAAACATGAATATGACTATTGAATAGGATGTTGACGGGGGAGGCGGCCCCAGGCAGTTTTACCTGGCCCAGTTTGTACTTCTGGAGGGAATGCTGAAAGCTGGCACTAACCTTGGGAGGACTACCTAGAACCTCTTTCTATTAGGTTAAGGTTTCTTTTAAAATGCTTTGAAACACAGAACGTAAAGAGAAATTGTGTTGTCAACAAGCAAATGTGGCTGCTTAGTGTCACCTTTTCTATTTTCTGACACACACATTTGCATAGCAATTGCCAGAAAAAATCTCTCTTTTCCCTTCTAATTGGATTGAATTGCTCCTGGATCTGTCTTCTAGTCCTGAAAAGCAATAATGAGGGGGTGGAATACCTTAAGCTAAAAGGCTGAATTATTTAAAATACTCACAAACCAACTTTAATGCCAAAGTAGCTGTTACCCCCTCTCTCTTCACTCTTTCTCTTCCTTCCCTCCTTTTCTTTTTTTTGTGAATTTGTTATATTTTTGCTTACAGACATCTAGTTATTTTATTCACTATGTCATCAGGTGTGTAACCGTGTGCATGTGTGGCATTCAACTGTGCTAACGTACAGGTCACTAGGAGCCCCTACATTAGGAGAGCCTTGCTGTACTTTTTTGTAAGCATTTTAACCCCATCCCCTGGCTACACAAACCGTGGATATGGAGAGGAGAAAAGGAGAAAACTACCTTGAGACAGAACCTGTTCTTGGCAAATTTAGGCAGGCTTTCTCAGGGCTCTCCATTTGCCTCTGCATGCCTTTTCTGCATTATTTCTCATTCCTTTCTGTCTCCTCTCTTCCCCTTGCCTATCCTCTTATTCCCTTCCCTCTCTAGCCCTTTCTCCTTCCCCTTTTCCACCCCTCCCTCCACTCTCTATCCAAGATTTTTTTATGAAATTGCTCTTGTAAGTGGGGAAAATTATGAACACATATATGTTAGGAAAATAAATATGTAACTCATTGTCTCTCCAAAAGGCATTTTCAATATTTGAACTAATTAAATAAACCATTAATGGTGAAGTTTAAGACTACTCTTTATACATATTTTTGAAAGATTCTTGGGAACAGGATGCCTGTCTATCTGCTCTTAGTTCACTCTACAGAAACAGCTATCTACTCTTCTTCTGACCAGAACTGGAGTAGTGGATGGTACCTAGAGCCTCTACCTCTATATTATTTTCTTCAGTAACTCCTCACAAGTATCCACACTACTCACACACTGATATACACAGATGTAACTCCATCTTCTGTTTATTGGCTAGTTCCTCATTAGATCTCTCACTTATGTTGAACTTGTAACCGCCCAATGGGTTCTCTTTGCCTGCTGTCTAGACAGAGCTGATTTATCAAGATAGAGGAATTGCAATAAAGAGTTTCATTCATGCAAAGCCAACTGCATGTGAGACAAAAGCTTTATTATTACTCAAATCAGTGTCTCTGAAGGCGTGGAAGTTAGGGGTTTTTCAAAGATAGTTTGGTGGGTAGGGGGGAAGGATAGGGGGCATGCTCGTTGATTGGGTTGGAGATTAAATCATAGGGAATCAAAACTGTCCCCTTATATTGAGTCTGTTCCTGGTGGGAGGTAGGGGACAGAACTGGTTGGCAGATCTAAATGAGGCCATCCAGTTGTCAAAAATGCAAAAACCTGAAAAGACATCTCAAAAGACCAATTTAGGTTCTATAATTATGATGTTGTGTTCAAGGGTAATTGGGGAAGTTGCAAATCTTATGGCCTCTCGAATAATGGCTGGTAATTATTTAGAATTCAAAACCCTCTCATCCTAACTTGGTGGCCTTTCATTAACTTTACAAGAACAGTTTAGTTTGGGGGAAGGGCTATTATCATTTAAACTATAAATTAAATTTCTCCCAAAGTAGTTTGGTCCACACACAGGGATGAGCAAAGATAGCCAAGCTGTAAGGCTAGAGACAAGATGGAGTCAGCCATGTCAGATTTCTCTCAGTATCATAATTTTCTCAGTTACAATTTTTGCAAAGGCAGTTTTAGTTTTGGTTCCTCTGCCAGAGCAAGAGGGAAACATAGAACAATGACACCCATCATAAAGAGTTTTATTTAAAAGGGCCACAGAATTCTGTTGATTAACAGCACAGTGAAGATGTCATGCCATCTGTGTAATATTGCTCATTGGTGACTTTGAGATCCTTTGTACGTGGCATGAATGCTAGATGGTTGCCTTGCGGTACATCAGATCCATGGTATTGATAGATAGGGGGTAGAGAAACTCTAGGCAAACAGGGGCAAGTCCCTGACAAAACCCCACCTTTGAGCCGAAAAGCTGAAACCTGTGGCCCAAAGTGAGAACTTTCATCCCTGTGTGCCCATTCTCTCCTGATTGGTTCTTTATGAATAATGTATTTTTACCAATCAAATGTTGCCTTTCCCAAAACTATGTACAGCCTGCCCCACCCCCATCCTGTGCCTATAAAGGCCCCAGACTCAGCCAGCAGAGAGGAAGCAGCTGGACATTGGGAAGAAACAGTTGGACAACAGGAAGAAGCTGCTGGATGCCAGGGAGAAGTGACTTTGAGAGAGTGGCTAGATGAAGCAACTTGACTTCAGAAGAGAGAGGCAGAGAGGTGGCTTGACTTTAGGGGATAGTGACCTTTCCTTCCCATCCCCTTTCCAGCTCCCCTCTCTGCTGAGAGCCACTTTCATCACTCAATAAAATTCTCCACATTCACCATCCTTCAATTAATCTGTTTGACCTCATTCCTCTGGGCACCAGACAAGAATTCAGGATGCACCATGTGCCGGTTTTGAAAAAGGCTGTCACACTGGTGCTTTGCCCTCACTGGCAGAGGGCAGCCACCCCATGAAATGAGGCAAAGGGCCCACTGAGCTGATAACACACTACAGTCTGCAGATGGTGGAGATAAGAGAGTATTGTAACACAGCTGCCAAGACTGCATGGAGTTTTTTCCTGTTGGTAGAGTTTACTCCCACAGGCGCTGAAGTGGCTGGCTGGTTCCTGCACTCCTTCATTTGTGGGCTACCTCCTACAAGGGGTGGAGCCTGGCAGACTGGAGTGAATGGAGTGTGCTCTTGCCAGGCCACTGGCCACACCTACACTTGCTTGCACTGGTTCCCACACTTGTTGACTCACACACTCCTTCCCACATGGGGTCGAGCAGGGCAGGCTGAGTAAACAAGGCATTCCTGTTGTGAGTCCCACAGAGGGATCAAGAAAATATCCTGCATCAGTATGAGATTATTCATAATTAAAACCAACAACAAAAAAAATCCATGCTGTGTGATCTGCAACCTCTGTCTAAATAGTGTGCTTCATAAAAATCCCATAAAAGGATAAGAGGAAAGGAAAAATAACAATTGCCCAAATATCTAGCGTATACTGAACCATTCATGAAAAAATCTGTGATGGAACAAGAAAAGTAAACTCTGGATTAGAAAGGAAAAGGGGTATTTTCTTTCTACACATAAAAAACATTCATCTATAACTATAGATAAAATAATGAGTCAATTAGAGAATCCCTGTCCTTAGGAATCTTGTGTCTAGTACCAGACAGAGAAATAAAGCCAACACACATCACACAGATAATGTGCAATCACAAGCTGGGTAAGAAGTCTGAAGGGAGATTACAAAGTGCCATGAGAACATATAAAAGAGAACATTTGAGAGAAAGAGACACATACACATACACATACACATACACATACACATACACATACACATACACATATACATACACATTCACATAACTTTTACTATACTATATTGTTATAATTGTTCTATTTTATTATTGTTGTTAATCTCTTCTTGTGCCTAATTTATAAATTAAACTTTAACATAGGTATGTACGTATAGAAGAAAAACAATGTATAGAGAGTTTTTTACTATCTGCGGGTTCAGGCATCCACTGGAAGTCTTGGAACATATTCCCATGGATAAAAGGAGACTACTCTATTTATGGCACCAAAGGCAAGTGTGGCATTGGACGAGGTAGGAGAGGTAGGCAACATCCAAATCATAGGCCCTTCTAGAATATGTTAGGGTTTGGGGACTTTGAAGAAAGAGCATTTGGAAGAAATAAAACTGTTTAAGCCGTTTATGCATACAAATGATTACACAGACTACACAATAAAGTAGAGGATGGAAAAACTAGACATAGGCAGAATGCTTAGCAGCCACAATGCATATATAAGATCATTCACTTGACAATTATAGTTTGGAACAGGATGGTGCTTATAAAAATAGAGATAAACAGAAAAACTGAAGAGATATTTAGGAGGTAAAATATTTATGTTTTGACGTGGATTGAATATAGAGCTAAGGATAAGGGGTAGCCGAGGATACTCTTTACTGAGACAGGGATCACTCTAGCAAGATTGTTGGAGACTTTGCAGTGAACACATTGAATTTGGATAAAAGTGAATGTGTCACATAGGCAGTTTACTATGGAATTTTAAAGTTCTAAGGAGAAGTTAGACATAGAGATTGGAAGTTGAAGAAGCCCTAGTAAGGGAAGAGGAGTTAAGAAATTGGGGAATGCTAAAAAGAAATAATCCTAAATAAGGATATATGCAAATTAATGGGGTTAAGCTGAAAATTCATGGAGGAGAACTTAGTACAAAAAGGGTTAGACTTTGTAGGAAGAAATTGATACACACAGCTACGCACTCTGTTAGGGAACATTCCAAGGGAGTAGGAAGAAAATCGCTGTAAACAGGGACTAGAATTTTATATTTTTTTCTGTACCTCACAACAAGTAAAACAGCACCATCCATAAAGTAGGAGCTCAATAAAGAAATAAAATATAGGAATAAAGAAAGGACAAAAAGAGGCTAATTTGACAGGTGATTCTTAACCAAGGGTTGAAGAAACAACTCTTCACTTAATCCAAATGTGTATTTTTTCTCTATTTTAGTAAAAGACCCTTGCAGGTGATTTGGGTAACCTAAAGTGGTACAGCACATTCATTCATCTGTAATTAACACAATAACTACTCTTTTAACCATTTGACAGGATGTCAGGAAATACATCAGAGGGAAAGTTTAGTTTCAGGAAACTATTAATTTTATTATAGATAATATGAATAAAATAAATATATTTCCTCAAATATAAAAAGAAATACATAAGCCTCAGTTCATTTTATTTATAAATTGCTCATTTACCATAAAATATCAATACACTAAATATGTTTAAATAAAATCCAATTACCACGTCCATTCAGTGAGGCTTCTGCTTTATATTCAACTAGAAAGCTTATACTATCAATCAAGAATGCTATTAGAACAATAAACAAGATAACAATCTTTTAGAAGAAGCCTAAAAGACTCTATTTTTCTTGAAAAAATATCTGAAATATTTTTTAAAAGGTAAAATGTGTTTATTTAGCTTCTTTTAAATATTCTACTCATTCTTTAAAAATTACCTTTAAAAACAAAATACATTTCTTATCTTAGCTGATATCTTTTAGACATCCTCTCCAAATCTCATGTTTTGATATAATCACCAATGTTGAAGGTGGGGCCTGGTGGGAGGTGTTTGGGTCATAAGGTCAGTTCCCTCATGGCTTAGTGCTATCCTTGCATTTGTAATCTAGTTGTTTAAAGTGTGTGGCACCTCCCCTCACTCTCTCTTGCTCTTGTTCTTGCCATGTGAGATACTGGCTCCCCCTTTTTCTTCTTCCATAAGTTAAAGCTTCCTGAGGCCTCACCAGAAGACAAGCAGGTGCTGGTGCCAAGCAGATGCCTGCAGAACCATGAGCTAATTAAACCTCTTTCCTTTACAAATTACCCAGTCTCGGGTATTTCTTTATAGCAACATGAGAACAGCCTATTATATTACCTATATATACTTTGTGCATATTCTAATTGAAATACAACGTTAACATTGTCCAATGCCACTAAAATTAAGATAACATGCACACATTTTTGCACAGGTCACCATATATATATATATATGGCAATTATATGGCCATATATATATATATATATGTGTGTGTGTGGCAAGTATATGGCCATATATATATATATATGGCAAGTATATATGG